>NC_000009.12:31222121-31373636 GCF_000001405.40 Homo sapiens
TGCTCTTCAGTAGAGAAACTGGAACGATGAATGCCTACTAGGATGCTAATTTGGGAAAGAAGCATGAGGTGATGAGGTCCTAAACCAAGAATGGTAGCTGGGGATTTTAAAAAGAAAAAACAAACAAACGAACAAAAAACACAACCGTAAGAAAGGAGGCAATTCTAATATAACATAATGGAAGAAGTAAAGGATAAAGGAGAAAACTAAATCAAAGCTAAATGCCTTCATCCTAAGGTCCCTAATAGGTCCAAGCAAATTTTATTGCACAAACAATGAACTCATACATAGGCGAATGCCCATAAATTTCCACCTATCTATTTAGTAGCTCCATGTAATAGTCAATGTGGAAGAAGTTCTCATCATGAGGTCACTCAAGATTCCTGTGCACATTTCATAGAATGTGCCTGCTTGTTAAATGTTTACTAAGAAGAGGCCCGATAAAATCAGGAACAACTGACTTAGGGGTCCATCGAAAAGTTTTTAATGAGAATATATGTGATCCAAATGCCAAAATAGGATTGGGGTCCATTAGAAGGCTAATATGCTATTTATAAAACATAAGAGATTGCAGAAATTATATATTTAGATATTGGCTATCATAAAGCAAAGAGAATATACTACAAAAGTGGCTCTCTCTCCAATGGCCTGCATTTTATCATGTACTTATAGCCATTCTAAAAGAAAGGAGAATAGGATTAAAGCTATCAGATCGAGGAAGATTACATTAGAGACACATCCCAATGAACTTTTATTGCTAAACTCTGCTCTGTTGCTGATTTGAATTTTAGCAAAGTGTGCTTTGTAGTCTCAGTGATGCACTTGGTTTGAAGCAGATGACATTAGCTAGATTGCTTAAAGCTGCACTGAAAACTCAGAACAGCATTATTTCAGGAGACATCTTTCTTTATATACAAACACACATAGGTTCTTCAGATGACTTCACCTATCTTTCTTTGCATTTTGCTTTGTGTTTTGTTAAAGAAGCCATGTGTAATCATCACCAGAACAGCTTTGGACGTATCACATATTGCAGATAATGAAGCAATTATAAAATTCATTTAGTGCTTCTGAAAAGGGTAAACAACAATATATTTACAACATACCAGATGGTAAATGAATACCATGTTTATTTTATATTTTTATGCTAAAATCTTATGTGCAATATACATTCCTCTCATCAAGGTGTTTCAGAAAAAACACAGTGTGCTTGTATATAAAGGTCCCTCTGCAATTTCTGAAACAGTATGCAGTAAAAAGTTTTCAGAATCAGTTATAACTAATGCAAATTTGTATCAGTTGCCTTATTTTGTAACATTGTATTCAATAGGTATTTTAGCAAAGCCTACTTTCATACGTATTATCTTATTTAACCTCAAATTATGGGTATCCTTTAATATTGAGAATCAGGAATAAGTATACTTGTAAGGTCAGTTTGTAATCAATAATGGACTTAGTTCTGTTTCCACCAAAGACTTCAGGATGTCCCTTAAATAGCCCTCTTAAACTAAGTAAACTCTTTTTAAAGAATAGCCTTTTCAACAAATGGTGTTGAGACAATTGGATATCCACATGCAATAGAAGGATGTTGGACTCCTGATCCACACAATATTAAAATTAAAAAAAAACTCCAAATGGATCACAGAGCTAAATGGATCTAAAGTTGTAAAACTATTAAGAAAGTGAAAAGATAATTCATAGAATTGAAGACAATATTATCAAAATAAAATATCTAATAACGTACATATATTCAGGATATATGAAGACATCATACAAGTTAACAATAAAAAGACAAATAACCCAATTTACAAATGACAAAACAAGATTTGAGTTGATATTTCCCCAAACACATACAAAAGTCACATGAAAAAGGGCTCAACATCATTAATCATTAGTTGAACATAAGTCAAACCGCATTGAGGTGCTGCTTTACACTCACTAGGATGCCTGTACAAAATGATAAATAATATAAAAAGTGTGATGACAATGTGGTTAAATTCAAACCCTATATATTGTAAAGTGGTGCAGACGCTTTGGAAAAATTTGGTGGTTTCTCAATATGTTAAACATAGAGATACTTATCATTCAGCAATTCTACTCCTAGTGTATTTCCAGAGTATTGAAAACATATATCCACATATAAATTTGTACATGACTATTTATAGTGGCATTATTCGGAAAAGCTAAAAATGAAATAAAAACATAAATCACCATCAAATGATGAATGGAAAAACAAAATATGATATAGCTAAACAATGAAATGTTATTTGGAAATACAAAGAAAAGGGGTACTGATACATGCTACAATATGGGTGAACTTTGAAAAGATTAGGCTACATGAAAGAAGCCAGTCATAACACATCATTAATTTATCTTAAATACTCACAATAGGCAAATTCATAGACACGGAAAGTAGATTAGTGGTTGCCAGGGAATAGGGGAATGGAGAAACAAAGTGTGTCTGTTAATGAATATGGCATTTCTTTTGTAGGTAATGAAAATATTCTTAAATTAGATAGTCATGATAGTTGCAATACTCTGTTACTACACTAAAAGACACTTAAAGTGTACATGTTAAAAAGAATGAATATTATGTGATGTGAATTGTATCTCAATAATTCTACTGTGTTTTTTTTTTTTGTTATATTTTAAGTTCTAGGGTACATGTGCACAACATGCAGGTTTGTTACATATGTATACATGTGCCATGTTGGTGTGCTGCACCCATTAACTCATCATTTACATTAGGTATATCTCCTAATGCTATCCCTCCCCCTTACCCCCACCCCATGACAGGCCCCGGTGTGTGATGTTCCTCTTCCTATCTCCAAGTATGAAAAGTACCGTGATAAACATACGTGTGCATGTGTCTTTATAGCAGCATGATTTATAATCCTTTGGGTATATACCCAGTAATGGGATTGCTGGGTCAAATGGTGTTTCTAGTTCTGGATCCCTGAGGAATCGCCACACTGTCTTCCACAATGGTTGAACTAGTTTACAGTCCCACCAACAGTACAAAAGTGTTCCTATTTCTCCACATCCTCTCCAGCACCTGTTGTTTCCTGACTTTTTAATGATCACCATTCTAACTGGTGTGAGATGGTATCTCATTGTGGTTTTGATTTGCATTTCTCTGATGGCCAGTGATGATGAGCATTTTTGCATGTGTCTTTTGGCTGCATAAACGTCTTCTTTTGAGAAGTGTCTGTTCATATCCTTTGCCCACTTGTTGATGGGGTTGTTTTTTTCTTGTAAATTTGTTTGAGTTCTTTGTAGATTCTGGATATTAGCCCTTTGTCAGATGAGTAGGTTGCAAAAATTTTCTCCCATTCTGTAGGTTGCCTGTTCACTCTGATGGTAGTTTCTTCTGCTGTGCAGAATCTCTTTAATTTAATTAGATCCCATTTGTCAATTTTGACTTTTGTTGCCATTACTTTCGTTGTTTTAGACATGAAGTCCTTGCCCATGCCTATGTCTTGAATGGTATTGCCTAGGTTTTCTTCTAGGGTTTTTATGGTTTTACATTTAACATGTAAGTCTTTAATCCATCTTGAATTAATTTTTGTATAAGGTATAAGGAAGGGATCCAGTTTCAGCTTTCTACATATGGCTAGCCAGTTTTCCCAGCACCATTTATTAAATAGGGAATCCTTTCCCCATTCCTTGTTTTTGTCAGCTTTGTCAAAGATCAGATGGTTGTAGATGTGCAGTATTATTTCTGAGGGCTCTGTTCTGTTCCATTGGTCTGTATCTCTGTTTTGGAACCAGTACCATGCTGTTTTGGTTACTGTAGCCTTGTAGTATAGTTTGAAGTCAGGTAGTGTGATGCCTCCAGCTTTGTTCTTTTGGCTTAGGATTGACTTGGCAACGCAGGCTCTTTTTTGTTTCCATATGAACTTTAAAGTAGTTTTTTCCAATTCTGTGAAGAAAGTCATTGGTAGCTTGATGGGGATGGCATTGAATCTATAAATTACCTTGGGCAGTATGGCCATTTTCACAATATTGATTCCTCCTATCCATGAGCATGGAATGTTCTTCCATTTGTTTGTATCCTCTTTTATTTCCTTGAGCAGTGGTTTGTAGTTCTCCTTGAAGAGGTCCTTCACATCCCTTGTAAGTTGGATTCCTAGGTATTTTATTCTCTTTGAAGCAATTGTGAACGGGAATTCACTCATGATTTGGCTCTCTGTTATTGGTGTATAGGAATGCTTGTGGTTTTTGCACATTGATTTTGTATCCTGAGACTTTGCTGAAGTTGCTTATCAGCTTAAAGAGATTTTGGGCTGAGACGATTGGACTTCCTAGATACACAGTCTTGTCATCTGCAAACAGGGACCATTTGACTTCCTCTTTTCCTAATTGAATACTGTTTATTTCCTTCTCCTGCCTGATTGCCCTGGCCAGAACTTCCAACACTATGTTGAATAGGAATGGTGAGAGAGGGCATCCCTGCCTTGTGCCAGTTTTCAAAGGGAATGCTTCCAGTTTTTGCCCATTCAGTATGATATTGGCGGTGGGTTTGTCATAAATAGCTCTTATTATTTTGAGATATGTCCCATCAGTACCTAATTTATTGAGAGTTTTTAGCATGAAGGGTTGTTGAATTTTGTCAAAGGCCTTTTCTGCATCTATTGAGATAATCATGTGGTTTTTGTTTTTGGTTCTGTTTATATGCTGGATCATGTTTATCGATTTGCATATGTTGAACCAGCCTTGCATCCCAGGGATGAAGCCCACTTGATCATGGTGGTTAAGCTTTTTGATGTGCTGCTGGATTGGGTTTGCCAGTATCTTATTGAGGATTTTTGCATCAATGTTCATCAAGGATATTGGTCTAAAATTCTCTTTTTTTGTTGTGTCTCTCTCTGCCAGGCTTTGGTATCAGGATGATGCTGGCCTTATAAAATGAGTTAGGGAGGATTCCCTCTTTTTCTGTTGATTGGAATAGTTTCAGAAGGAATGGTACCAGCTCCTCCTTGTACCTCTGGTAGAATTCGGCTGTGAATCCGTCTGGTCTGGGACTTTTTTTGGTTGGTAAGCTATTAATTATTGCCTCAATTTCAGAGCCTGTTATTGGTGTATTAAGAGATTCAACTTCTTCCTGGTTTAGTCTTGGGAGGGTGTATGTGTCGAGGAATTTATCCATTTCTTCGAGATTTTCTAGTTTATTTGCATGGAGGTGTTTATAGTATTCTCTGATGGTAGTTTGTATTTCTGTGGGATTGGTGGTGATCTCCCCTGTATCATTTTTTATTGCATCTATTTGATTCTTCTCTTTTCTTCTTTGTGAGTGTTGCTGTCAGTCTATCAATTTTGTTGATCTTTTCAAAAAACCAGCTCCTGGATTCATTGATTTTTTGAAGGGTTTTTTGTGTCTCTATCTCCTTCAGTTCTGCTCTGATCTTAGTTATTTCTTGCCTTCTGCTAGCTTTTGAATGTGTTTGCTCTTACTTCTCTAGTTGTTTTAATTGTGTTGTTAGGGTATCAATTTTGGATCTTTCCTGCTTTCTCTTGTGGGCATTTAGTGCTATCAATTTCCCTCCACACACTGCTTTGAATGTGTCCCAGAGATTCTGGTATGTTGTGTCTTTGTTTTTGTTGGTTTCAAAGAACATCTTTCTTTCTGCCTTCATTTCATTATGTACCCAGTAGTTATTCAGGAGCAGGTTGTTCAGTTTCCATGTAGTTGAGAGGTTTTGCGTGAGTTTCTTAATCCTGAGTTCTAGTTTGATTGCACTGTGGTCTGAGAGACAGTTTGTTATAATTTCTGTTCTTTTACATTTTCTAAGGAGTGCTTTACTTCCAACTATGTGGTCAATTTTGGAATAAGTACGATGTGGTGCTGAGAAGAATGTATATTCTGTTGATTTGGGGTGGAGAGTTCTGTAGATGTCTATTAGGTCCATTTGGTGCAGAGCTGAATTCAATTCCTGGATATCCTTGTTAACTTTCTGTCTCGTGGATCTGTCTAATGTTGAGAGTGGGGTGTTAAAGTCTCCCAGTATTATTGTGTGGGAGTCTAAGTCTCTTTGTAGGTCTCTAAGGACTTGCTTTATGAATCTGGGTGCTCCTGTATTGGATGCGTATATATTTAGGATAGTTAGCTCTTCTTGTTGAATTGATCCCTTTACCATTATGTAATGGCCTTCTTTGTCTCTTTTGATCTTTGTTGGTTTAAAGTCTGCTTTATCAGACACTAGGATTGCAACCCCTGCATTTTTTCATTTTCCATTTGCTTGGTAGATCTTCCTCCATCCTTTTATTTTGAGCCTATGTATGTCTCTGCACGTGAGATGGGTTTCCTGAATACAGCACATTGATGGATGCTGACTCTTTATCCAATTTGCCAGTCTGTGTCTTTTAATTGCAGCATTTAGCCCATTTACGTTTAAGTTTAATATTGTTATGTGTTAATTTGATCGTGTCATTATGATGTTAGCTGGTTATTTTGCTCGTTAGTTGATGCAGTTTCTTCCTAGCATCAATGGTCTTTACAATTTGGCATGTTTTTGCAGTGGCTGGTACCGGTTGTTCCTTTCCATGTGTAGTGCTTCCTTCAGGAGCTCTTGTAGGGCAGGCCTGGTGGTGACAAAATCTCTCAGCATTTGCTTGTCTGTAAAGTATTTTATTTCTCCTTCACTTATGAAGCTTAGTTTGGCTGGATATGAAATTCTGGGTTGAAAATTCTTTTCTTTAAGAATGTTGAATATTGGCCGCCCCTCTCTTCTGGCATGTAGAGTTTCTGCTGAGAAATCAGCTGTTAGTCTGATGGGCTTCCCTTTGTGGGTAACCCGACCTTTCTCTCTGGCTGTCCTTATCATTTTTTCCTTCATTTCAACTTTGGTGAATCTGACAATTATGTGTCTTGGAGTTGCTCTTCTCGAGGCATATCTTTGTGGCATTCTCTGTATTTCCTGAATTTGAATGTTAGCCTGCCTTGCTAGTTTGGGGAAGTTCTCCTGGATAATATCCTGCAGAGTGTTTTCCAACTTGGTTCCATTCTCCCTATCACTTTCAGGTACACCAGTTAGATGTAGATTTGGTCTTTTCACATAGTCCCATATTTCTTGGAGGCTTTGTTCATTTCTTTTTATTCTTTTTTCTCTATACTTCTCTTCTCGCTTCATTTCATTCATTTGATCTTCAATCACTGATACCCTTTCTTCCAGCTGATCAAATCAGCTACTGAAGCTTGTGCATTCGTCACGTAGTTCTTGTGACATGGTTTTCAGCTCCATCAGGTCATTTAAGGACTTCTCTACATTGGTTGTCGTAGTTAGCCATTCGTCTAATCTTTTTTCAAGCTTTTTAACTTCTTTGCCATGGGTTTGAACTTCCTCCTTTAGATCGGAGTAGTTTGATCATCTGAAGCCTTCTTCTCTCAACTCATCAAAGTCATTCTCCATCCAGCTTTGTTCCATTGTTGGTGAGGAGCTGCGTTCCTTTGGAGGAGGAGAGGCACTTTGATTTTTAGAATGTTCAGTTTTTCTCCTCTGTTTTTTCCCCATCTTTGTGGTTTTATCTACCTTTGGTCTTTGATGATGGTGACATACAGATGGGGTTTTGGTGTGGATGTCCTTTCTGTTTGTTAGTTTTCCTTCTAACAGTCAGGACCCTCAGCTGCAGGTCTGTTGGAGTTTGTTGGAGGTCCACTCCAGACCCTGTTTGCCTGGGTATCAGCAGCGGAGGCTGCAGAACAGCGAATATTGCTGAACAGCAAATGTTGCTGTCTGATCGTTCCTCTGGAAGTTTCATCTCAGAGGGGTACCCAGCTGTGTGAGGTGTCAGTCTGCCCCTACTGGGGGGTGCCTCCCAGTTAGGCTACTCGGGGGTCAGGAACCCACTTGAGGAGGCAGTCTGTCCATTCTCAGATCTCCAGCTGCGGGCTGGGAGAACCACTACTCTCTTCAAAGCTGTCAGACAGGGACATTTAAGTCTGCAGAGGTTTCTGCTGTCATTTGTTTGGCTATGCCCTGCCCCCAGAGGTGGAGCCTACAGAGGCAGGCAGGCTTCCTTGAGCTGGGGTGGGCTCCACCCAGTCCGAGCTTCCTGGCCACTTTGTTTACCTACTCAAGCCTCAGCAATGGCAGGCGCCCTTTCCCCAGCCTCACTGCTGCCTTGCAGTTGGATCTCAAACTGCTGTGCTAGCAATGAGCAAGGCTCCATGGGCATGGGACCCTCCAAACCAGGTGCAGGATATAATCTCCTGGTGTGCCGTTTGGTAAGACCATTGGAAATGCACAGTATTAGGGTGGGAGTGACCCAACTTTCCAGGTGCCATCTGTCGCCACTTTGCTTGGCTAGGAAAGGGAATTCCCTGACCCCTTGCACTTTCCAGGTGAGGCGATGCCTCACCCTGCTTTGGCTCACACTTGGTGCACTGCACCCACTGTCCGACAAGCCCCAGTGAGATGGACCTGGTACCTCAATTGGAAATGCAGAAATCACACATCTTCTGCGTCACTCATGCTGGGAGCTATAGACTGGAGCTGTTCCTATTTGGCCATCTTGGAACCGCCAGCCAATAAATCTATTGTTAAAGAAAACAATAATGAGGAATCTCTACATATTCTTATTGAATGAGTAGACTAGGATATATTAAGTGAAGAAAGCAAGTTATATAAAAGTGTACAGGAGGTCCTTGAATGTCAGTTTGCTTAATGTCGGTTTGTTATAAGGTTGTTATAAGGTTGATAAGGAAAAAAATCTATTCTCAGCAGGAGCCACAGTTTATATGGAGTTTGCATGTTCTCCCCATGTCTGCCTGTGTTTTATCCTGGTAGTCCATTTTCCGCCCACATCCTAAAGCTGTGCATGTCAGGTAAATTGGTTTGTCTATATTGTTCTAGTGTGAGTGTGGGTGTGTGGGAGGGTGCTCAGCAATGGGATGGCATCCTGTCCAGGGTGGGTTCCACCTTGTGTCCTGACCTTCTGGAATAGGCTTCAGGCACCTGCAACACTGGACTTGAATAAGTAAGGAAATAATTGTCTTACTTGTTTTTATTATTCTTTCTTAAATGTATATCTAGCTTACATTTATTACCATGTTTAATATTAGATATATGTGGGATTTTTATCTAAAAGTTTGATGATGTTTTTATGACAAGAAATATGCCATAGGAACTTAACTCTTTTTAATATCAATTAGCCTATGGTAAAACTGGTTTTGTTAAATGTTGTTTTTGCTTAAAGTCAGTTTTCAAGAACCTATTGATGATGTAAAGTGAGGATTTACTGTCTATAACATCAGCTGTCTATCTGAAAGGGAAGAATGTGAATACACACATTTTCTTATTTATTAATAAAAGATTAAACTAAAAAGTTAATATAAAAATCACTGTTACCTGTAGGAGGAAGAAAGAACCAGGATTGGGAAATAGAGATAGAAATGAACCCCCTCCGCTGGGCGCGGTGGCTCATGCCTGTAATCCCATCACTCTGGGAGGCCGAGGCGAGTGGATCACCTGAGGTCAGCCTGGCCAACATGAGGAAACCCCGTCTCTACTAAAAATACAAAAATTAGCCAGGCATGGTGGCGGGCACCTGTAATCCCAGCTACTCAGGAGGCTGAGGCAAGAGAATCACTTGAATCTGGAAGGTGGAGGTTGCAGTGAGCCAAGATCACGTCACTGCACTCCAGCCTGGGCAAGAGAGGTTCCATCTTAAAAAAAAAAAAAAAAGGAAAAAAGAAAAAAGAAACCCTGTCTTTCATAGGTTTTACTTCAGGTACTTGTATATATTTTACATAAATATACAAAATAATTAAATAAAACTAGTCCCTAAATACTGATAATTGACAATGAAGTTAAATAAATAAACTAATGTCATAAATTATTGGTAAACAACACAAAGAGAAACTATGCCAAGTCAGTTTAAGAGTTTAAGATATGGCAATTTCGTCATTCATCCTTACTTGGATATGCCCTTAGGATAAAAAGAATTAAAGGAAAAAATATTGAACTCATTGCGCTCATTATTTTGTTGGTAGTGTTGATATTCCTAACCCGATGCTGTTCCATGTGTATTGAGGGATAAAGCAAATGAGTTATTATACTAGTGTAATCGAGAAGTAGGATTTTTTTGGGGGTGGGAACTACAGATATAAATTTCTGAGGTTAAATAAAGTCTCCATAGCCCTCAGTGAAAGTACTAATATGAATAAGTTATGGTGTAATTTATCTTAAAATTCTACCTCTATTCACTAATTAGGAACCCTAATTAAGGTGATCTGGCAACTGTGTTAATTAGCAACACTCCCTGTGGTAAACAGGATCCCTGATAGGTAAATAACACTTGTTCTAAGGATTCTATGTATGAATCATAAATATCTAATGTAAAGCCCTAATATTGGGCTTCCCTGGATGTGGTGACTTTGCCCTTGATGGGTTAGACCCTGGAAGCTACGTCTATGGAGTTAAGATATTTTTAAATCCTTTGAGACATGTAGCTTCTAAGATAGATCAGATCCCTCACTTGCCAGAAGTAAGCCTTATTCCCTTGAGCCTGAGCTTCCTGGGGAAGGGTGGAGACAGCTCCTGGAATCTATGTAGGCAGGTGTACAGGAAATACTTCCACTGAAAATGAATGCTTGATGCTGACCTTCTGGCAAGCTGTGATTCCTCTTTCTTTGTCCTTCTATGTAAATGTGATGTCACATGTGACCTATAATAGTCTTGTGAGGTGGAGCATATATTAGAGCCTAATAAGACCACCTCCTCTTGGATGATGACGAATTTAATGCACACGCACACATACATACAGTCTCTTTCCACTGAAACACCTAGGAACAATGACTATGCCGTGAGCACAAGGTTGTGCTCTCTAAATATTCTTTCCTACTTGAAAATAAAAATATTGCTGCTTGAAAAAAGGACTAATTCTAGGTTTGGGGCACAAAGTCATGCCAGGAAATCCTATACCAGAAGACAAGAAAGTTACCAAAGCTTTCAGGGATCATATCAAAAAGGACTTTAGGAGCCAACTTGAAGAAGCTCCAATGGTCAAACTATTTAGAGTTTGCCTAAAACTACCCCCTGACTGAAAGATCTGGAAGGACTACGTTGGCTATTGGCTCCATGAAACCACATTAGAGTTGACTTAAAGCAACAAGCAGTTCTTGGTGTCAGCTTTGCCTCTGCATGTGTCATCCCCAGGCATCTCTGAGAATAATCTGGTCCCTAGTGTGCACCGTAAAGCTTCTTACAAAGGAATAAGAACACTGACTCTTGCTCACACAGATATGAAGGCACAATAGTACAGATGCACATGATAGTTTCTGGAATTTCAATATAAATAATAAAAGTGTATTGAAGAAAGAAACAGACTTAGGCATCAGAAGAAATGAATTGTATCTACGATCTATCATTTTCTAGCCATTTTACTCTGAAAAGATATATCATCTCTGTGGCCCTCAGTTTCATCATCAATGAAATATAAAATTTGAATTAAGAGGATTCAAGGCATTATTTACTTCTAAATTCCATGATTTTATGTAATTAACATTATTCTAAGAAGATAACAAATATTTATCCCCAGAATTCATTAGTCAGGGTTCTCTATAGGGACAGTACTAATGGAATATATATATGTGTGTGTGTGTATATGAGTTTATTATTAACTCACATGATTGTGAGGTCCCACAGTAGGCAGTCTGCAGGCTGAGGAGGAAGAAGAGCCAGTCCGAGTTCCAAAACTGAAGAACCTGGAGTCCATTGTTCTAGAGCAAGAAGCATCCAGTATAAGAGAAAGATGTAGGCTGGAAGGCTATGCCAGTCTCTCTTTTCACATTTTTCTGCCTGCTTATATTCTAGCCATGCTGGCAGCTGATTAGATTGTGTCTACCTAGATCAAGGGTGGGACCTCCTTTCCTAGCCCACTGACTCAAATGTTAATCTCCCTTGGCAACAACCTCACAGACACACCCAGTATCAATACTTTGTATCCTTCAATCCAATCAAGTTGACACTCAGTATTAACCATCACTGCAACATGTAAGTAGGGTCAGGTCAATAAGATGGATATGAAAGTTCAAACACAATGACAAATACACTGTGGACACTCAATATATGGTAGGTATTATGATTATGGTGATATTTTCAAAACCTTTACTAATTTTTGTATACATTTAGATGAGAAAAAATGACAAATGCACCTACAGTTGCAGGTTCCTTCTTATCATATGTGTTGATGAAGCAATTTGTTAAATGCAAGATAGACACAGGGCTTTCTCTTATTCCTAGATTATATGATTATATATATATATGGTATGCCATTGATTAAATAACACTATTTTACTGAGAGAAAAATAAAAATATACTTACATTTATTTATTTAATCAATCACTGGCTTCTCTGATTTATTATTAGAAAAATATGACAAAATCTAATATTCTATCTTCCAATTTTTTGAAAATCTTAAATGAGGCTTGATCTGTAATTAAATAATTCATAATTATATATTAATGAGCTTGAATTGGTTATTTTTTCAACTATAAAAGAAAAACTTATGCATTGCACAAAGACATTTTTAAAGTTAGTAGCTCTTCAGAAGGGAAGCTTTATGAAATTTCAAATTTTTTGTTTTTAATTTGATATAAAATGAATTTATTTATTTTATATTTAAAAATAATGTAACTTGGGCCATAAAAATTATAATGCTAGAAAATAAACACTAGATTTATCAATGTTATGGAAAAGTGCAACTTGCCAGTGTGTATGGTTACTTTTATATGCAGAAAAACTAACCTTTAAAAATTGATCAAGCATGCTATTTACTGCAGATTTTTCTTAAAAGCTCGTAAGATTTATGTATGTCAGTATTTCTTATATTGTAAAGAAGCATTGCATCTGACGTTAATTTCTAGTACGTGGTATTTTAACTAGGTTATTGTTAAATAATTTAACTAGTTAAATTTGTCTATGAACAGTTATATCTGAATGACATAAACAGACCCTTTAACCAAAAAAAAAAGTGACATTACTAAAAACTGGTAGGCTGTTATTACAATAGACTTTATTAAAAATAGTCAGTGGGAATATACTGAAATGTGCACCTTCTAGTTCAGAGCAATGTTTAAAGAAATCTAAAAACATTGTGCATCTGTCTAAAATGAATGATATGATAATATCTCTTGCTTCGTTATTATAAATAAGTGGTTATACTTTTAATACCTTAAGGTAAGTTGCCCGTGTGTGGTGGCTAACGCCTGTAATCCCAGTATGTGGAAGGCCGAGGTCAGCAGATTGTTTGAGCTCAGGAGTTTGAGACCAGCCTGGGCAATATGGCGAAACTCATCTCTAGAAAATAGAATAAAATAAAAAGGAAAAAAAGTGTAAGTTCATGGGGAAGTGAGCTACAGTTTGTATCATGGTTAACCATACATATGAGGAGCCTGGTTTCATTAGATCATACACTTCTTATGGGAAAGTGAAGCCTTTTTTTTGGTAATAATTCTCTTTTTTTGAGTAATTTCTTCCTTTTGTAGATTTATGTCTGCAAAGGTAAATTTTACTTAATTCAAACATAAAATGTGCCAAAATTGTGTTCCGTCTTTTTGACAGTATATATGTCCTGTGTCTGTGTTAGTGAATGTTTTCCTGGGAGTAACATCTTTATCTCTGCATTCTTGTACATTCATAGCCAAGAGCATTCTTGATAAGAAGAAAGGGAAAGAGAAGAAATAAAAGAGAGGAAGAAAGGAAGGAAAAGAGGAGAAAAAGACAGCTGTGGTATCAGTGATAACAACAGCTTCTGTTTGTATGTGAAGAAACAATTTGTGTTAAAATTATACTAGTTGCCTTGAATATAATACATAATTTTACATAATCCTAATGGCAATTCTGTGATATAGGTGTTAATATCCCATTTTTATAGATTAAGAAGATAAGGGTTAAAGGGTTTAATATAGTTCCCTGAGCTGACAGAGACAGTCAGCTGTTTTATTCCATAGATATTTTTACACATATACTCTCCATTTTTTATATCATCTCTTATAAAATTAGATTGTTTTATCTGATTGTTTTGGATGGGTGTAGGAAATAATCTGATTAAATAATTAATACATATAAAAAAAGTCATGACCTAAAAAGAGCAGAAATACTTAATTACCTAATCTAAATTGTGTGCTTCAGGCTGGATAATTTGACAGGAATAACCATCTTTCAATTATATCAACAATATTAAACTAGGGATGCAACTTTTTATGAAATCTGCTGATCACTAGTGAAGACATATGTTACTAATGATGCACTGGCTTGCCAACTTGTTTGAAAATGATTAAATAAAGTGTTTTCATGAATACATTAAATTAAGAGGATATAGAAAATGTATTTGAAGAATCTGAATCGAGTGGAAACATATTTAGTTGATGACTCATTTGGTGGATATCATGTCACCATGGATTCATTTCTTTACTCTTCTTTTGATAAAGCAGGGTTCATAATGTATATCTTTTGGAAGTACATTATCTATCAATAAATCTACACATACATTTGAATGTCAAATTTCTCATTAAAATCACGTGGGTGATCTTTGGATTTCTCTTATAAACATATGCTCAAATACATAGTTTTGATCTTCCCCTAAGTAATTCAGGGTGCTACTAATCTACACTTCCTTCCTGACTGAAAAATACTTGTAGACACTATCAGAAAAACCACCATTTTCCTCATTGTTTATCCTCAGACAACATTGTATATGAATGTTT
The DNA here is from genome assembly GCF_000001405.40 of Homo sapiens. Classification (NCBI taxonomy): domain Eukaryota; kingdom Metazoa; phylum Chordata; class Mammalia; order Primates; family Hominidae; genus Homo; species Homo sapiens. Next base: position 31,236,829 of record NC_000009.12, read on the forward strand.
TAACAAACCTGTGATTCTTTTTAATTTTCCAGCTACAGCAAGGAAACCAGGTCATCAGGAATGTACCAATTACATAAGCAAACCTCCCTCTGTGCATTGATTCCTTTCAAGAAACCTTTTCCTATTGAAAGAATGTTTTCCCTCTATATTTAAAAAGTGTGAGGATGACATTTTGTAGCCCATCACAGACGACCCTTTGCTGGGCTTTCCCCACAGGATGTAATCTGGGCTATGTTTATTTATAAAAAGCCTTAGTCTAAATCTATATAAGCAATTGGCAGCCGGGCTAGATGCTGTCAGCTTGTCTCCTGGGATTTTTTGCTTCAAAACTTAAATACCTTGGCATTGAAGTTGCAATAATGTTACCAATACCTCACACTTGATTAAAAGTGTATACTCCCTGGGGCTCATGGTCAAGAATTTAGACCTTTCTCCAGCTTTCCCTTGGCATTATGATCAACTTGAGAGAATAGTTTCTCTTTCTGGTAGTTTCAAAAAATAAAAATAAAGTGAAAGGTGCTGTTTAAATGGAGACAGTAAAAAGCATTTTGACACATTCCTATCAGGCCTCCTCACATTTCACCAGATGCAAGGTGTTTCTCCACAGTTTTCTATTTCCAGAATCTTCTCTGACTTCAAAACCCTGTACTCTGTGTGGACATTATTGTATGAGTGCATTGCAGCCTGCTTTGTTCATGTTCCTTCCAAGTGGTTTCTTTTATATTATCTATGTAGGACTTTGGATTTGATCTCAAAAAAATGTTCTATTTGGGACAAATATTTTAGAACTTTAAAAAATATATGTTTTCAGATGAAAAGTGGAGGCTAAGAAAAATTAGGTAATGTCCTCAATATTCATTAGCTAATTCTTGCTAGGCCACTGAGATAAGAGACTCCCATCTTCTGTGGTTTCTAATTTTGGCAGATCAGCTAGTCTGCTCAGGCCCTCATACTCAGTTTACAAAGTTTATTCTCATCTGCATAAATTTCCCATTAGCACCTGGTTTCTGTGTCTACCACGAATAGAGAAGCTTAGCACCAATATCTCTAGACTCTAGGAAAAAACATTCTAAAGTTTCTTAGCATCTTTGAAGGGCAAAAATGAAGCTCAACCAGACTACTTAGAAGCTATGTATGGTTCTTAATCCTGGATATGATCAGGGAATTCAGACAAAGCGAAAGTCACAGCAGTGTTTTGAAGCCAAACCAATTTTGATTCAATGACAGCTCTGTGCCTTGTCTAGCACTGTGATGTGAAAACCTCCTCAAGATCTTTGTTCACAAATTCTATATCTCTCCCCAATCATCTGTGATATATATGGTTTTAAAAATAAGAAATAGAAATTTTTGCCTACTTTAAGATAAGAGAAGTAGTTTGAAAGGCAAGCAGTTAACAGACGATACGTTGATTTTCAACCATTTGCTTATCTGACCTCATGTCCTTTACCATCATCATTTGGTCTCATTCACAAAGACAGGTCCAAAGCCGATCTCTTGTACCAAACAGTCAAGTTGTGGAAGCAAAGGAAGAATACTTGAAGAAAATTAAAAACGCTATTCCAGTGAATGAAAAGAAAGCAAAGCAGCCTTCTTGCTGATTGACAGGGAGAAAGTTGTAGTAGTTTTCATAGAGGATCAAACCAGTCACATTTCCTTAAGCCAAAGCCTAACCCAGAGTAAGTTCTTAAATCTCTTCAATTTTATGAAGGCTGAGAGAGGTGGGAACGCTGCAGAAGAAAAGTTGGAAACTAGCTGAGATTGGTTCATGAGGATTAAGGAAAGAAGCCATTTTCAAAACACAAAAGTATAAAGTGAAGCAGCAAATTATGATGTATTATAGAAGTTTCACAATGTTATCCAGAAGATCTAGCTAAGATCATTGATGAAAATCCAGATCATTTTTTAGTGGCTACACTAAACAAAAGGTTTCAATGTAGAGAAAACAGCCTTGCATTGAAAGAAGGTGCCATCTAGAACTTTCCTAGCTAGAGAGAAATTAATGTCTGGCTTCAAAATATGGTCTGACTCTCTCGTTAGTACTAATGCGGCTGGTGACCATAAGTTGAAGCCAATGTTCATTTACCATTATGAATATCCTAGGGCCCCTGGGAATTATGCTAAATCTACTCTGCCTGTGCTGTATAAATGTAACAATGAGGCCTGGATGGCAGCCTGTCAGTTGTCAGCATGGTTTACTAAACATTTTTAGCCCACTGTTGAAACCTACTGCTCGGAAAAAAAAAAAAAAAAAAAAAAAAAGAGTCGTTTCAAACTATTATAGCTCATGATTATTAGCACTGTTTATCAAAAATTATTTTTAAATTTAGCTATGCATATGTTTTTTAGACTTAATGCTATTATATACTTAATACACTACAGTATGGTATAGATGAAACTTTATATTCACTGGGAAACCAAAAGTTTTATGTGACTCACTTTATTCCAACATTGCTTTATTGCACTGGTCTGAAACCAAATCTGTAATATCTCTGTGGTATGCCCATATTTGATTTTGAGAAGTTGTCAAAAAATGTCAAAAGATTTAAAATATTTGCTTAAGATAGTATCACCAATGACTGTGAACAATAGTCATTCATTTAACCAATGTGATAATTTAAAGGCTTCGAAGGTAAATTCAGAAAGTTACATATTGTAGAAAAACCCTATTTAATAAAGAGGACTATTTTCTTAAGTGATCAAAAACTAATAAAGACAACATGAATCACAGGATATGATCTTGGTAAAACAGGACTTTTGTTTGCTAGGGCAATTACCAGAAAAGTAAACAAAAGCCTTATGCATTTTTTTTAATTCATAGTAGACCAATATTCCAAGAAAACCTTGCTGTTTTAACAGAACCTAATTCCAGTTTTGCATCTGTGTACTTTTGATATTAATGCTCAACTTTTAGCAAAACTTACAGTTCATTTTAAACTTAGCCAGCTTGATCATATTAACATTTTTCCTAAGAACCCTGTTCTGCAAACGTTTTACAGCTGTCTTAAATCCATTCATTTTTCATCCTATAGTTTTTTCTTTCTCATTTGGAAACCACCAGTCATTCTACTTTATGAGAAAAATTACTCTATTTTTCCTTGACAAAAGAAAATCTCCTCATACTGTCTAGCCTTTCCCTACCAAAAACACATCTTGCTTTCCTTGTATATATGTATAAATTGTTTATCTTATATTAATTTTAGCAATTTTAATTATATATATTAATTAGAATTCTTAATCCTTAGTGACCTTAATTTTCAGTGAACACCAAGAAGCAAGCAATTGTGAAATGTCTGTCATACTAGCAATCTGTGGATTGGAAAATGTGTGAATCATAATTTCTTGAAGCGTATGCTTTCTCATAGTATAATTTGTTGATATGGCATAGTACATGTTTAGTAAGAATCCCAAATATATTTTTAGTCTGTCTGTAATAAAAACTATGGAGGAGACAAAATCTTATCTGTTTTCTCAAGGCTTTTTTTTTTTTTTTTGGCCTCTAGACCTTCATTGTGTATACAAACTTCCTTCAGCCTCAACTTTCCATCCTTGATTATATGTGATAAGAATGTTAAACCTTCTGATATAGAGAGGCCTTTTTTTTCACAGAAATTTTAAAATCTTACTTACGTCTACTTAACTCACTTATTTATTAACAATTACGCTTGGACTGCTTATGAAGATGAGACATCAAAACGTTGCCATTATCTTATTTTTCTTGCTGATAAATTTTGTAATATAAAGATAACATTTACTAATTTTACTAATAAATCCAGGTAGGAAAAGTTGTGTATCTGTATTACATTTAATACTGACAATTATGAAGATATGACTATATAATCAAATCAAAAATATTCTTAAATACCAAAGATTTCTCAAGACACATGAACTTGAAAAGCATTTGAGTTAGTTCTTATTTTGCAGAGGAAATAATTTATGTGTTTATTTTTCTTTAAGCCAATTAAATAGATCTCATTTACAATCTAATTTTGGCAGTATCATATGAAGATAAAAAATATCACACATATATCACATATAGAAGCATACAAAATTGTAACTATGTGCCAAGTACATTAATATAAAACTCAATAATTTATTAAAGAATATCTAAATCCAAATCATTTTTCTCTGGCTGGTTAAATAGGTTTTTTGGTTTTGTTTGCTTGTTTGTTTGCTTTTCCCAGATGGCTAAAGCTTTAGACTAATATGTGTGAAAAAGTCTTTTAAGATTTTTTTTATTTGCCCTCTGTAAAGAACCTTTTAAAGCGCCAGTATTTGATTCATTCAATCTTTTAGATGTCTCTTTGTACCAATTAAAGAATGCATCTCATTGCTTTTGTTGTGTTTTAGATCTTTTCTTTTCTAAAGTATCTTGCAAGTTAACAATTTTATTTGGGTTAAAACTTTGCCACTGTGTTCACTGTAATTCCACCTTGTTCTTATTAAGGTTAACTCAGTTTTCAAACAATGAACAGGTTCTGGGACCAGAATTTTTATGCATAAACTTAGCTGATGTCTCAATCTCCTGGAGTCTGAAACTCCTTCAATTTGGAGGAATTCAGTTTCAAAAGGTATTTACCTGGCTCTAACTGACAGAATCTAATCAAGTTAATTTTTGGATTCAATTTAATCCTGGACCTAGTCCAGTAACAATTGCTCAAATCAAGTTGGAGACTTCAAATCACAAATTTGTGGAGCTCAAATCTGTTAGCAAACTCATTCATGACCTCCAGTTGATGTGAGAGATCAATGGGCAAAATGGGCCCTAGAGGGTACCTTCATTTGCTCACTTGGTGCTCCTGGAGGTCAGTAGAGGTCTTCAGATCCCACTTTTTAATGCCAAACTGTTAAAAGAAAAACTTTAGACACATTAAATTTTGCATAATTTATTTGAGCGAATAACGATCCATAAATTAGGAAACGCAGCGAACCAGGAGAGCTAGTTCAACCAGCAAAATGGGCAGGTGATATTCACATAGAAAGAAAAGATGTAACTTATACCAACAATTTGATTGGTTACAGTTCAGCATTTGCCTTATTTGGGTGTAGTCTGATCAGTTGGAAGCCTGTGACTAGCTGAAGTTTGGCTGATGTGATTGGCCAACACTCATCTGCTTTTTATAAGAACATTGTCTTAAGTTGTAGTTTATTTACATACTAAGTCAGGTTGTCATTCACTATGTAGGAATTCGAAGTACAGAGGCAGTTTTAGGCCAAGTTGTTTTATTTAATTTGACAATATCAAATATTTAGCAGTCTTTTCATCCATCAATGAATAATGCAATATAAAATTTTTATATTCAGACTATAAAATGCATTATCTTCATTAAGTTATTTTACATGGATTCACAAGAATAGAATAAAATACTTCGAAAGTGCAAAAAAATAGTGTACTGAGCTTTAGTTAGCATTTTTGTTTTTAATATTTTTATTTTTGCCCCTTAGAAAAATGTATGCAAAACTAACTCCATTTAGAAGAACAACATGCATATTAAGTAAGCTACACATTGAGGAATCTCAACATAATATGAATTAAAGTCATAGAATCATACATTGAGCAAGGATTTGGGGTATTAATTTTATCCATTTACTCATTTAACAGAATTTTACTGAGGGTCTCCTGTAATCAGGCATTTTACAAAGGTGAGCAAACAGAGCAAGTCCCTGTCCTGTCGACATAGTGTCTAGTCTATATAAATATAGCATATATACCTATTGTTCTCTCTTTAATAATATATATGCTTATCTCTGTGTGGCAGGGCATGCATATATGTAGGTGTTAGTGCATTTAATTTGTCTTAATTTTATAATATAATAGATGTTCTAGCTAAGTCCAAACTGCAACTTAACTTTGATTAATTAGAAAACAATTCTAACCACAGTATCTATTTGAATGAGTCAATATACACATGGATTTTAGTTTTTTAACTACAGCAAGAAGAAGATGGGTAGGTTAAGATGCCCTGAGCTAGAGTATACAGTGATAAATGGGCCTGGATAGACAAAATTGGGGAATATCTGAAATAACAAATAATCATATAATAAGTAAACCATGAAGAAGTATTGGGATTTGATCTGAGAGTAATAGTGAATGATTTTGAATTTTTAATGGAGTGGGACTGTCTTCATGAGGTTTGAATTTTTAGAAAGACTATAGTGCAAATTAGGCATATAATACAAAAATTAAAAAAGGAGACATTGAGACAAGGAAAGTGAGTTTTAAATACTTTTTTCAGGCAATGTGGAAGTAGCCCCAAGTGCTTATAAAACCTAATGATAGACATTTTTGGATACATAAACAGATAATTTTAAAATAGTAAATTAATTTATATATCTCTAACTACTAATGGCATATGACATCATAGTTAATATGTCTACTTGTTATAGAAAAAGGGCATATATTCATACACATACATTATATTTTCTTGGTTTTGTAGGTTATCTCATAGCTGGATTTTCTTTAATGTTAGAGGCATTGATTTAGAGAGTTGCAGACTTATACTACCATTGTGTGGTTGCTTTTCAATGGTTATTTCAAATGTAATATTTTCTTATGCTGTAATTACAACTTCTTAGAGTACATTCATATTTGAGACGTATCTGATTACCACTAGGGTTGAAGCAATACTAAAATTGTATTATCTTTCAACCAAAAAAGAAGAAAAAGAGTTCTGTCTAGGGATAGTGCTTTTAGAACCTGATATGAAAGGAAACAACTGCATGAAATCACAGCAAAGCTTGTGAGTTGGATTACAGTCCAGACAAAGACATCAAACAATCTAAAGAATTTGCTTCTGACATCAAACATTCTAAAGAAAGAATTTGCTTCTGCCACAGTTCAGAAACTTTTCTACTATTTAGAGTGACCTACACTGAAGTTTTAAAATTAATTCTGGGAAAATAATATGTATAGTCTTCCATGATATTCTTTATCAGGCTGCCCATTGCCAAAATTATCAGCTAGTCAAATTTGTCTTTGAGATTTTGTGTCTTATCTCAATTGTCTATTGGAGTCTTTATCCATCAGCCCCAGGAAGCATGCAGGGACATCATGACAGTGCCTGGAAACCCTGCTATCACCTCTTGGATCTCTCTCTGTCTCATTGTGTTTTCTTTTGTGGAGATGGTTCTCACTATGTTGTCCAGGCTGGTCTTGGACTCTTGGGCTCAAGAAATCTTTCCGGCTCAGTCTTCCAAAGTGCTGGGATTACAGTCATGAGCCACCATGCCTGGCCTGGATTTCTCACTTGAGGCAGAACCTCACAAAAAGGAGCTTCCTGGCTTCTGGCCTGAAATAAACCATATTTGCTACCTTTTTCTTAGACCCAATTACCTCTTAGTTGGCAGATAATAAATAGATCTATTAATGCTTATATGATTATATCAAGACAATAAAATTACTATATCAAGACCTGGAAACAGAGCCAAATTACTTATTCATTGTAGATTATACATCACATTAAACACAGCATAAATCTTTTCATGCAATTGTACAAATGACTTCTAATAGGGAGAAGTTACCCTGAAAAAAATCATTTTGGCAGGGGTCCTTTTCAATGTCTGTTTTATCACACCCCATCTTATTACTTATTCCTCCCAGTTCCACTTATAGAGTTCTCTAAAATATGCACAAAGATATGCCTGTTAAATTAATGCAATATTTGAGCTTTCTGTTTGTTTCCTATTTATTTTTATCACTTTTTCTCCCCTTATCTAGTCTTTTATATCTCATTCTCATTTTTTCTATTTATCCACCCAGATTATTGAAATAGCAATACTAACAGTAATAGCAAATAGAAATACTAAATAGTAAATAGAAATCGTAATCGCAAATCTAATCCCTGGTGTTTTTCTATTTTTTTATATTGTAATACAATATTGTAGATAATTGGCATTAATATAATCGTATTTGTAGATGAAATAAAAAGTGGCATTTTTAATTTTATTTGACTTATAGCTGATACAGGAAAGTAGACTATAGATAATCACACAGAAAAAGTACAATTTTAAAAATCCTTCAGACATGAGTATTACATTTTTATGTTCTCAAAGGATTATCTTAATATCTGATACATATCAGGTATCCATCTCTTTGTCTCTGTCTCTCTCTCTCTCTCTCATACACACACAAACATGCGCACACACTGTAATTCTTGCCATAAATAAAAAGTGGTTATGACAGCTGACATAAAAATGTCTAAGTCTCTAAACCTTTAATGAAGAAATACTCTCATAACATTCTAGAACAATTTTATGCTATTTTTATCTCTTATATCCAATAAATGATCAATGCCTTAAGCCAAATCTTCAAACTGTCCGTTGATACCCCACAATCCAGATCACTATTATTGATGACCTGGACTACTATATTTGCTTCTCCAGTGGCTGCCCCCACCTATCTTCTACAGGGCAGCCAGATAAGTCTTCAAAACATGTATCAGATTACTCACTCCACAGCATAAAACTCTTCAGTTGCTCTCATTACACTTCACATAATAGCCAAAGATTTAAATTAACTCCACAGAAGAATCTAAACAAATTAGCCTCTAACTTGCTTTCTGAAATAATCTTCTTCCCACATGTGCCTTAAAATTGACTTTTCCATTTTCCCTCTTTTTCTGGCTTTGCTTCAGCTTGAATATTCTCTAACAATCTGTCTTCTGGTGAACTCATCACGTTTTCTCCTATGTCTAATATTCGATTTGAGATATTATATTTCATTCAGGAAGTTTTATATAACTTATTTTAATAAATGCGATTATCTGGTAAAGCCATCCATATGTTCATTTCTTGTGTCATTTATTTACTCTCTTTTCTTGACAAATTAATGATTATTGAAAGTATTTACCTGATAATTTCAATATCTAAATTTCTTGTGGGTCCATTTCTATTATCTCCTTTTTCTCTTGTTTTCAGTAACATATTTTCTCTTGGCATGCCTAGAAATTATTTTATTGAATGTTAGGCAGTATTTTCAAATTTTGTAAATATCCAGATTATGTTACCTTTATTCAAGATAGTTTCATCTTTGCTGCTGCTGTGAAATTACTACTTCAATTCCATCATGTCTGGGCTAAATAAAGCCTAAGTTAAACTTTTTTTAGGTCTCTGTTCTATCTCTGTGTCACATTTGTTCCTGAAGTGCAGCTAACTATATTCTTTATATTTAATTTATTTATTCTTTTTAGTTGCGTTATGTTTCTAATCCACTTTTTTTTTTTTTTTTTTGAGAGGGAGTCTCACTTTGTCTCCCATGCTGGAGTACAGTGGCGCGACCTCAGCTCACTGCAACCCCCACTTCCCGGGTTCAAGGGATTCTCCTGCCTTAACCTCCCGAGTAGCTGGGATTACCGGCGCCCGTCACCAGGCCTGGTTAATTTTTGTATTTTTAGTAGAGACGGGGTTTCATCATGTTGGCCAGGCTGGTCTTTAACTCCTGACCTCGAATGATCCACCCTCCTCGGCCTCCCAAAATGACGGGATTACAGGCCTGAGCCACCGTGCCCAGCCTAATCCATGCTTTCAATCTCTTAATTGGTATATTGGACCATTTACATTTTTCTTAAAAAATTTAATTTTAATTTTTGTGAGTACATAGTAGGTATATATATTTATGAGCTATATGGAATATTTTGATGCAGGCATACAAAGTATAACAATTACATCAGGGTAAATGGTATATCCACCTCAAGCATTTATCCTTTGTGTTACAAGCAATCCAATTATACGCTTTTAGTTATTTTTAAATGTACAATTAAATTAACATTGACTATAGATGCACTGTTGTGCTATCAAATACCAGATTTTATTCATTCTAAATTTTTTTTTGTAACCATTAACCATCTCTTCTTTCCTTAATGTCCCTCCTACCCTCACACTACTCTTCCCAACCTCTGGTAGCCACCATTCTACTCTCTATTTGCATGAGTTCAATTGTTTTAATGAGGTCATCTACATTTAATGTAATTATTGTTGTAAGTCTTAATCTGCTATTTTCTGTTTGTTCCCTCTTTTTTTTTTTCTGGGCTTTTAAAAAACTTTCATATTATGTCAGGAGTACATGTGCAGGTTTGGTACATAGGTAAATTTGTGCCACTGTGGTTTGTTGTACAAATTATTTCATCACCCAGGTACTAAGCCTAGTACCCAAAAGTTATTATTTTTTTTTTTTTGCTCCCACTGTTCACCCATACATAGGCCTCAGTGTCTATCATTCCCTCTTTGTGTCCATGAGTTCTTATCATTTAGCTCCCACTTACAAGTGAAAACATGCAATATTTAGTTTTCTGATCCCCCATTAGTTTGCTAGGGATAATGGCCTCCAGCTCCATATACGTTCCTACAAAAGACATGATCTTGCTCTTTTTATGGCTGCATAGTATTCTATGGTGCATATATACCACAGTTTGTTTATCCAATCTGTCATTGACGGGAATTTAGGTTGATTCCATATCTTTGCTATTGTGAATAGTGGTGCAATGAACATTCACCACTATGTTTCTTTACGCTATGTTTCTTTACCTACATTCTTTAAATGGAGAGCTTTACATGGAAACCCTTCCTCTCATGGTCCCTGAACTATAATCTTGAGTCCTTGATGGCAGTGCAAGAAAATTTAACAGACAAAAATAAAAACTCTTCTCTTCTATTTATATACTTTCTCCCTAGACTTTTTATGTTCCTTCCCAATGCAACTTCATTATTTACCAAATAACTTGAGAGAGAAATTATCAGTGTGCTTGAAGCCCTACTGATCTCTAATATATTTACTGTAGATCCATCACACCCTTAAAGTCTCTGCTGAAATATCTGCCGTGTAGAAATGACCTCTGGTGAGTCAAAGCTTAAGATTTTCAGCCACTAACTGATATTAAAAGTATTGGTAACTCTCTTTAAGAAAAGAAGTTGCAGTTCACCAACAAATCTCTGCATGCTTCAATTCTCTCCATAATCTTACCCCATCGTTAATACACACATTTAAGGGAAATATTAAATGTTTTTAATAGGCACATAGAGAGTGTACAGTAATTTTTCATTATCATTTTACTACTACTGCCATACGATCCATATCATTATTACCTGAATTGTTCATACCATACTAGCTTCCGGAGTAGATGAAATAGAACGCTAAGCATTATTCTGAATACCTCACTTTTTCATATCTACTATATTACTCTAAACAACTGAAACTCAAAACTTTTGAAGATTCACTCTTCACTAACTGACATTTAGATAATAAGATCATTTATGTAGTGTCTATTATGGGTTACAACTTAAAATGAGTGAATAATATGATTTTCATTTTTGTTGTTTGAGTGTCATAAAATGCTTTCTGGCTATTTCTATCTGATTATACAGAAGAACACAGTGACCTACTTTTAAAGAACTTTCTCTGCTTAAGGATTGCAGCCTTCAGTGATACAATTCAGCAAGTCCTACATGACACTTTGCAAGATATGTCACAGCCAATATAACATAGTACAGATTTTTCATGGTTATTATTAAATCCCCTAAAACCATTGACTCATGCTGCCCTTGACATAATAAACTTATTGTTCCTTACAAAGTCACTACAGATGTGCAGTAAACCAGAATTATGCTTGCAACTTACATTCAAATCTTTGACACAGAAAAACACTTTTCTCTCAAGTTCAGTACATCTATTTATTATTCACACGTCTCTCTTTCAGAGCTAAAAGAAATCACAGTTGGTAGAAAAACAGATTTCCTGTTGCTGTTCTATACAAAATTTTAGTCATAGTATAAAAGGCATATCATTTTCCCAGGATATTAATTATAAGAAAATAAATCTTGGGGTAATTCAACTAACTTTCGGGTAGCTGAAACCCCAAACCTGAAAAATCCACCTGTCCTAAACATTAATTACCACCCATGGGAAATTCTGCTGAGTAAATAAGAAATGGATATGGCATGAGACAGTGTTATTTGTTTTGCTACTGAAAATGAGAGGAGATTGTTTCTATAGGTTTTAATGTCAGAAAACAGAGAGTTTATTTTCCAAGTCATAGCAATCACAATACCTAAATTCATGTTGAACATGGATGTCTTAGATATATAGAATATTTATCATCAATCAGCCTATTCAAATGTATTTTTTTATTATGAGTGACTGGATGGCAGAGTTTTAAATATCCCTTACCGTAGATCATGACACATATAGAAATGGCAAAATTACAGACTCCAAATCAAACTCAAACCCTAGCACTGCAATATTTAGTTTTCTGTTCCCCCATTAGTTTGCTAGGGATAATGGCCTCCAGCTCCATGTGAACTTCGCTTACTTAAAATATTTTCCAGGCTGGTCCCGGTGGCTCACGCCTGTAATCCCAGCACTTTGGGAGGCCAAGGCGAGTGGATCACCTGAGGTCGGGAGCTCGAGACCAGCCTGACCAACATGGAGAAACCCTGATCCCAATAAAAATACAAAATTAGCCAGGCATGCTGGCACATGCCTGTAATCCCAGCTACTCAGGAGGCTGAGGCAGGAGAATTGCTTGAACCCAGGAGGCGGAGGTTGCGGTGAGCCAAGATCGTGCCATTGCACTCCAGCTTGGGCAACAAGAGCAAAACTGTTAAAAAAAAAAAAAAATATATATATATATATATATATATATATATTTTCCCACTCAGGTTCCCCAGAGATGTGCTCGTGGTTTTATTAAATGAGTTTGGACACTATTAGAGAAAGTGCATACCACCATAAAGTATATGAACTAATGACAACTATGCCATCACAATAATTTACTTTTCCACTGATTTCTAGCACATTACTGTAGGCAAAATGTATTACTCATTTCTTTTTTCAGCTCTGGTGCCCCAGTGATTGTTCTCCATAACATTTAAAGATATTAAACAAGTTTGTCAACAATTTAGGATTAATTATTATATGTCTCTGTGTGCTTCAGTTCTCTCCAGAAACTTACTCCATCTTTGATACACACATTTAAGAGCCACATCAATGTTTTTAGTAGACACATGAAGATTGCACAGTAATTTTTATTTTGCTGCTACTACTATACTATCTTAAAAATAAAACACTTTGCATCAATTGAAAATAAAGACCAATCAAAAATGGAAATAAATCATTTCTGCCATTGTTATCTACTTATGCAAAATTATAATCTGACATAAAATATCTTGATTTTTCTCATCTAAAGATGAAAACTAAAATTAGCTAGTGCCACTTTTGTCTAGTTACTCTACCAGGTATTTTCACCTTCTGCAATTAGCAGAAGTGGAATTCCAGCCTTGGTATGTTCCAACCTGAAAGCCCATATGTTGTTACAATACAATGACTCCCTCTTCCTTTCCATCGAAAAATAACAAATGAATCTGAGAAACACATACTACATGAAAACTATAACATACTGATTAATGAAATTGAAAAAGTCCCCAGGAACTTGAAAGATACTCCATGTTCATGGAAGGGAAAATCAACATTGTTAAAATGTCCATGCTACTCAAAGCAATCTACAAATTCAATGCAATCCTTATCAAAATATCAATGACATTCTAGAAAAAAAAATCCTAAAATTTATATGCAATCACAAAAGACCCAGAATAGCCAAAGCTATCCTAAGCAAATAGAACAGAACTGAGGGAATCACATTACTGGCTTCAAATTACACTACAGAGCTACAGTAACCAAAACAGCATAGTCCTGGCATAGAAACAGAAACATAGACCAGTGGAACAGAAGAAAGAACCTAAAAGCAAATCCACATACCCTCAGAGAAGTCATTTTCAACTTAACTTACCTTTCAACAAAGGTGCCAAAAATACACTGAGGAAAAGAGTTTTTTCAATAAATGATGCTGGGAAAACTGGATATCAATATGCAGAAGAATGAAACCAGACCCCTGTCTCTTACCATATAAGAGATTCAGATAAAATATTGATTCAAATAAAAATGAACTAAAAAATTAAATATAAGACCTTAAACTATTAAACTACTACCAGAAAACATTGGGAAAACTGTCCAAGACATCAGTCTGGGGAACAATTTATTGAGTAATACCCCACAAGCACAACCAAAGCAAAAACGGATAAATGGGATCATGTGGAGTTGAAAATCTGCACAGCAAAGGAAACAATCCATTAAGTGAAGAGACAACCCACAGAATGGGACAAAATATCTGAAAACTATCTATCTGACAAAAGGTTAATAGCTAGAATATATAAGGAGCTCCAATGACTCCACAAGAAAAAAAAATCCAGTAATCTGATTTTAAAATGGGCAAATAATTTGAATAGACATTTCTCAAAAGAAGACATACAAATGGCAAACAGACATGTGAAAAGGTGCTCAATATCACTGATCATTAGAGAAATGCAAATCAAAACTACAATGAGATATCATCTCATTCCAGTTAAAATTGCTTATTTCCAAAAGACAGGTAATAACAAATGCTGCAGAGAATGTGAAGGAAAGAGAACACTCGTACACTGTTGGTGTGAATGAAAGTTAGTACAACCACTACGTAGAACACTTTGAAGGTTCTTCAAAAAACTTAAGTAGAGCTACCATACAATCCAGCAATCCCATTGCTGGGTATTTATGCCAAAGAAAGGAAATCAGTGTATTGAAGAGATATCTGCGCTCCTATGTTTGTTGCAGCACTGTTCACAATAGGCAAGATTTGGAAGCAACTGAAGTGTCCATCAACAGATGAATAGATAAGAAAAATGTGGTACTTACACACAATGGAGTGCTATTCAGCCATAAGAAAAAAATGGCATTCAGTCATTTGCAACCACATGGATGAAACTGGAGGTCATTACGTTAAGTGAAATAAGCTAGGAACAGAAAGACAAACATCACATGTTCTCACTTATTTGTAGGATCTAAAAATCAAAACAATTAAACCCATAGAAATAGAGAGTAAAAATAGAAATAGTTACTAGAGGCTGGGAAGTATAGTAGGGGGTTGGTGGGGAGGTGGGAATTGTTAATTGGTACAAAAAAAAATAGATAAGACCTAGTATTTGATAGCATAAAAGGGTGACTATAGTCAACAATAATGTAATTGTACATTTTAAAATAATGACAAGAGTATAATTGGATTGTTTATAATGCAAAGGATAAATGCTTGAGTGAATAAATACTCCATTTTCCATGATATGATTATTATGCATTGCACTCCTGTAACAAAATGTCATATGTACCACAAAAATAGATACATCTACTATGTACCCACAAAAGTGAAAAAAATATATAAAAAAAGAAAAAAACAGTCATCACTATGATCAGATGTTGGAGCTAACATACAAGGATATTTTTAAAGGTATTACACATATATTCAAGATCCTCAGATGAAACGTTAACAAAATGAACAAACAGATGGGAAATAGCAAATACATGGAAACTAAGAAAAAGAACTAAAAATGAATTCTATGAACAAATAAAATATATACATAGAGTCCTGTAAGGCAATATCAGTGTGTTAAGTCAGAAAATGCTAAGTGAGTCTAGCAAGAAAAAAAAAAAGGTGGAAAAGGTTAGGAAAAAAACAAGATAAAATAACAGCCAAGTATTTATTAACTTGAAGCTATAAAAGCTCAGTGAGCATCAAGCATAATTAATACAAAGAAAACTATATCCTATGCCTAGCGTGGTTGCTCATGCCTGTAGTACCAACATTTTGGGAGGCTGAGGCTGGTGGATTGTTTGAGTCTAAGAGTTTGAGACCAGCCTGGGCAACAAGGCAAAACCTTGTCTCTACTAAAAATACAAGAATTGGCTGGGTGTGGTGGCACACGCCTATAGTCCCAGCTACTAGGGAGGCTGAGGGGGAAGAATCACCTGAAACCAGGAAGATCCAGGCTACAGTGAGCTATGATCACACCACTGCACACCAGCCTGGGTGGTGACAGACAGAATGATACCGTCTCAAAAAAAAAAAAAACAAGAAAAGAAAAGAAAAAGAGAAGAAAAAGAAAACAATCCCCTGTGCTATCATAGTACAACTTTAAACAAAATAAATAATATTGATAGTATCCAGAGAAACAGTACAGTTTACATTTAAATAGACAATGATACAAATAATTCATGAATTTCTTATAAGAAATAGTAAAGACTATCTGAAAATGGTCTAACATCTCTAAACTCCTGCATAAAGAAGAGCTTACTTTAATGAAGTTTTGGGGTGTGGCTTTTATCTAATAGATTGCATTATAATGGAATTAGATAAAACTCACACAGATTTTAAGCAAATTATGTCAGCTTGAACTGAAACAGACAAAGTAACAATGAAGAGTGTTATGTAGACCCTTGAACTACCATGGGCAGCAAGGAGGCTGAGAAAACTACTCGGTTGCAAGCATGATATATTTTTTTAATTGAAAAGGAAGAATAACTGGTGATGCAAAGATGTAAGCCCAATGGGCACAGCAAAGAGTCACGGAACATTAGACCAAAGAATTAGGACTGAGTGTGGTTAGGGAAGCGAGGAACTGACAAACAGCACTCAGTGGGTTTCAGAATTGCTAGGACCAATGATGGCAAGCCTCCCATTGCTGCCTTTTGGAGTAAAAGCATCTATTATAGTTATCCTACGTGTTTCTCTCTATTATATGTTGAATATAGAGGACAGAGGACTTGCCTCATTAATTTACAAGTTTTCAAATTGAGAGAAAATCAGCGGAGCTACAATTGAAGTGCTACACCCAAGAAAACTCATCCACACCTGGAACTCCTATACCTAAGCCGGAATCTCTGGTAGAATGAGACTTTATGGGTGGAGGCCTGGGACACAGATGATTATATTCAGCATGTGAGCAGAATAAGAGCTGTTTTGATGACAAGGAAGACCGTGGCAGGCTATATTTTTCATAATGGTCATGGCAATATCTCAGTCCAACCTACTCTTCCAGAACCTTGCCTCTCTTCTATAAGGAGGTGGGAACCTTTGGAGATCATAATTAATAAATAGACTGTAGCTGCTTTCGGTCCTGGTGGCCAGGGCTGAGCCAGCGACGCCCTCCCTTCACTCTCCGCGCCTGCTCTCCTGCTGTCCGCCCGCTCCGCCACCCGCTCCGCTGCCCGCCAGGCCACCATGACGGAACAAGCCATCTCCTTCGCCAAGGACTTCCTAGCTGGAGGCATCACCGCCGCTATCTCCAAGACAGCCGTGGCATCGATCAAGCGGGTCCAGCTGCTGCTGCAGATGCAGCACGCCAGCATGCCGATGGCCGCCGCCAAGCAGTGCAAGGGCATCGTGGACTGCATCGTCCGCATCCCCAAAGATCAGGGCGTGCTGTCCTTCTGGAGGGGCAACCTGGCCAATGTCATCCGCTACTCCCCCACGCAAGCCCTCAATTTCGCCTTCAAGGATAAGTACAAGCAGATCTTCCTGGCGGGCGTGGACAAGCACACGCAGTTCTGCAGGTACTTTGCGGGCAACCTGGCCTCTGGCGGCACGGCCGTCGTGTATCCCCTGGATTTCACCAGAACCCGCCTGGCAGCCGACGTGGGAAAGTCAGGCACGGAGCGCGAGTTCCGAGGCCTGGGAGACTGCCTAGTGAAGATCAGCAAGTCCGACGGCATCCGGGGCCTTTACCAGGGCTTCAGCGTCTCCGTGCAGGCCATCATCATCTACCAGGCAGCCTACTTCAGGGTGTACGATACGGCCAATGGCATGTTCCCCGACCCCAAGAACACACACATCCTGGTGAGCTGGATGACCGCGCAGACCGTGACGGCCGTGGCTGGCGTGCTCTCCTAACCCTTCGACACAGTGCGGCGGCGGACGATGATGCAGTCCCGGCGCAAAGGAGCTGACATCATGTACACGGGCACCGTCGACTGTTGGAGGAAGATCTTCAGAGATGAGCGGGGCGAGGCCTTTTTCAAGGGTGTGTGGTCCAACGCCCTCAAAGGCATGGGGGTGGGGGCGGGCTTCGTGCTGGTCCTGTACGACGAGCTGAAGGTCAGCTAAGGGCCTTGGCATCCTCCACACACACACCAAAGGAACCAAGAGAACCACGTAGAATCCTCAAGTGTGCAAACCATCGACATTCGAGAAATTCCAGTCGTCTTTTTCCCAGCCGGACCCTGCCTGTAGATGGCCAGGAAAGGCTCTAGAAAAGGGGCTCATTGGCTGAGCGTGGTGGCGGGCACCTGTAGTCCCAGCTACCTCGGGAGGCTGGGGCAGGAGAATGGCGTTAACCCGGGAGGCGGAGCTTGCAATGAGCCGAGATCGCGCCACTGCACTCCAGCCTGGGCGACAGAGCGAGACTACGTCTCAAAGGAAAAAAGAAAAGAAAAAAAAAAAGGAAAAGAAAAGAGAAAAGAAAAGGGGCGCATTGTGATCCAACCATCGGTACCGGATTCCAAGTCTTGATCACTAGGGGAAGGGAACTAGGGTGTCCTGGTGGGCCCACGGGCGAGGCACTCCAATACTCAGACCTAGAAGTCCAGATGCTTGTAGGATCCAAGTCGTGTTTAAGTATTTATTTAAAACAAAAGAATCATGTTCCCCATTTGTACTTAAGCACTAGTCCCTCTTTTGCACAGCCGAGTACTTTCAATTATGTTCTATGTTGGGCATCCTGCTGCGAAACATTAAACACAGGATGCGGGGCTGGCGGGGGGGAATAATTAAATAAATAAACAAATCGAAGGTAGCAGAAGTGAGACTAAGTAATATATTAGGCGAGCTTAGAAAGACGGTGCAGCTTCCACTTGACTTTTTCTTAGGACCCTTGCCTTTTGGAACTCAGACGTCATGTTATGAAGAGGCTGAGGCTACATGAAGAAGTCATGTTGACACATTTAAGCACATAGGTCTAGCTAAGGACCCTGCTGACAGCCAGGATCAACTGCCAGATATGCGAGTAAACAAACTGTGGTGATTTAACATCCAGCTTCAGAGTAACCCTAATGATGCTAACTAAGTACAGCAAAGACAAGCTGTTCCTGCAAAGCCCTGCTCAAATAGCAAATTGACGACCATAGTAATATTGTTGTTTTAAAAAACAGTATTATTGTATCAGTTTGTCAACATAGAAAAGCTTTAAATAGATAATCTTAAAAAGTAATTTTCTTAAGAATATATACATTATGATAGCATTAATATATAATACATTGGAAGTGAAGCCTAAATAATTGTTGATTAATAAATTTAAAATATCAATATGCTTTAAAATGTTAATTACTGTTTATCAAGTTGGAGAGTTTAAAGCAGAAGTCAAGCTCTTATCACAAGTGATCTTCTTTATTGGGTAAATGCATTTATTAATTACTTTTAAAAATTTATCAAAAACATGTATAAATAGGTGTTAAATATTTAAGGTACTACAGAATAGATGATGTTTAACAAGAAAACCTTTAAAGATGAGGTGTTGGAAGAAACACAGAACAAGCAAAATGCATCAGTTTACTAAATGCAGGAAATGCAAATCAGTCAGTAAATTATTACAGCAAGAATGCATGGTGATTAAAAAAAATAAGGTTAGCCTCATACATACACATGCATTATACATATAGCAAGGACAATAAATGTAAGTTAAATATAATTCTTTAAAAACACTCACAAATTGGATTAAATAATGCTTAAAATTGTTATGATAAAAATGTTTAAGACATTCAAAAAAGATACACAAAAACTGAAAATACAGGAATAGAAGTAGACAAATTAGACAATTACTAATAAAAAAATTGAAGCAATACTAATATCAGATAAAAATAATTCAATGTAAAAGGAATTCAATGGAATATTGGAGAGAATAATTGTTCAAGGACAAGTGTTTACCTTTATCTCCTTGGAAACATAATACAGTTTTGAAATTTATAGGCAAAGAGTGTTAGAACTATGAAAAGAGAGACTAAAGATGTAAATGTATTCTCTGGGTGATGTAGTTCAAAACTGATTGGTTTTGCTCTTATGATAAAATAATTCAGATAGAGATTTCTTGAGTGATTTTTTTACACAATAAGATATTCTCTTTGTAAATTTCTGGTCAACTATCCCCGACTATCACCTGTTTTTACAGCAAAACTATAAAAATTTTAAGTTTCAACTTTTGAAATCGAATTGCCAGAACAATTGATTATGATGTTGAATGACTGAATCTACAAACATTTGTTTCACACCAGTGGGCTCTATCTTAAATATAGAAAGATTTGAGTCATCAATTATAAATAAAAGTATAAAACATAAATATTAATTTTAAATATAATATTTATAATCAACATAGTGTAAACTTTGTATTTAAAAATTGTATAAAACTATGAAAATGAAAAGAGGCTTTTTAAGTGTTCAACTGACAATCCCATATTTATTAATTAAAATCAGGTAAAAACTAACTATAAATTTAGATAACCTTCAATAAATTTATTTTATCACTTTTTTTAACTTTCTGCATAATAATAATGGGACATTCTTGATTAAAAAAACATCAATTTCATGAACACTAAATAAATTATATCAAATGGAATTAATACGCATGATGATTTACTGTAATTTAACTCAAATAGAAAAATTGAAAACTACTCAAGTCACAGTTAAAATTAATTTTAACTGTATCTTTGGGGTATAATTTTCCTAACTAAAACTCACTCCTATCATTAGAAAAGGAAATCCATGAAGAAAGCAGGAATTTTATACGGAATAAAAGTTATAGCATATGTTAAACTGGAGAAAGTTACATAAATTGTCAATATTCTTCTCACACTAAATGGCACTAAAAGGGTACTTTGAAAATGAGATTTAAATTCAAAAAATTTCTCTCTACCTATGGCATTTTACCATTTTCCATTCACAATGGATAATATCTGAGGAAGAGTTCTGAGGTGGCAGCATGCTTGTACACCTGCTTTGCTAAAATTGCTTAAGTGCTAATTCACTGGCAATTTCACTGCAATAGCAGGTAGTTTATTTTTAACTGCATTTAGGGTTTTGAATGCTCATAGTGACACAGAATTCAATCTGTGAGCCATTCCATGAGAAACTATTTAAGATTAATACTTAAAACTGTTAATTAATTTCTGCGGTCACTGGGCCTTATACATAAAATCATTGCTGTGTTAAGGTAAATGCAGATGTTTGTAAATTCATCTTTTAAATAAGTGTATTTTTGAGAAAAAATTTCAATTTAACAAATATTTACTGAGCACAATTTGTATAGAGAAGTAAATCAAATAGACATTGGGTATGATTACCATAGCAGTTTCTGAACATATAGTCCAATAAATATAGTGGATGTGTGTGTGTGTGTGTATATATATATACACACACATATATATACATATATATGTATATGTGTGTGTATATATGTATGTGTGGCTATACATATATTTATACACATGTATTTCACCCTCATGCTAGCCATTATCAAAAAATTCATAACCAAAATAACCACAGATGCTCTCTTCTGTCTCAGAACTACATCTTTTCAGTTTTGAGGTATAAATTACTAATATTAAGCATTACTAATTAAGCATTACTAAGAAATTACTAGCATTCACTTGAAAAAATGAACTTAAATCATCACAGGCTGGTTTTGTAGATCTCTTTAGATATAAAAATGGAAAGTTCTAGATTTAGAAAATCTCTAGGATATAATTACATTTTAGTGTTCTTACAAGTCTTGATTTCTCCTTTCTGGGACATCCAGAATGTTGACTTTGATAATTATTTAGCAGAGTCAAGATAGATACAACTCATATTATAGGAACAATTCATGAAGCTACTTTGTCTCTGAAACCTGTTTTAATAATGTATATGATATACTTAACACTTGGCCTGAAAGAAAATGTCATAAAATATATTTTCTTTTACATGTCTTCATTTTAAATCCCTTTTCGTATCATTTTTCCCTAACCATTGTATAGACATTTCATAACTTGCATTTTGGGTACTTTGTTTCCCTTCTTTGATGTCATTAAAAATACTAAAAGCAAATTCACTTCAGAAAACAGCAGAAAACTTGCATTACTTTTTTTTTTTTTACATCATCTCATGCTGTCACCTCTTGTATATTTTTCTTCTAAATTGTTTGAAATTTGTCTCCCATATTATCTGGCTATACTTTTGATAATAATAAAACTTTATTTGCATAGTTACCTCAAACTATATTAAATGCACAGGTCAATTACCTTCCCACAAAAATAATTACCTCATACTTATTTTGCTGGGTTTAGTGAAGTTTGAATTAACTTCAGATTATTCCCCTTGTCACAGTGATTTGTATGGGTTTAAATTTCTCTTTTTCAAATAAAGTTATTTTCCTTATTTTATATTGTATATATCTATAGGAGAAAATGTAGCAAATCCAGAAAAACTAAATAAAGAACATAAACTATGCATTGTCCAACTACCTGGAACCATACCTTTTAGAGTTTGGTATAGATGATACCAGTTTTATGTGTGTGTGCATACATTTAATGTGCTGCTTTACTGTGTTTTAAGTATGTTTACATAATTCATAATATTTTAAATATTGGTTTTAAATATAGATTTTTCTGTAATAGTAAAGATGTTTTTTCATAAAAATGCAGAAAAAGCAGAAATGTATAAAATTAATAGTAACCTCTTATTCAGACCGATGAGCAAATTACACTTATTTCTAAGTAATTAGCGTTGCATAAAATAGTGAGATCAATATTTTAATTGGCAAAGAGCATAAATATAAATTATATATATTTGTGTGTATGTGTATATGTGTGTGTATGTACATATATATCCATACATATGTATAATCTATATACTATATTATATATTATTATATTGAGTCACTTGAGCCATTTTTGCTTTATTTCCATTTACTTTCCTTTCATTATTTTTCAGTGGGAAAGATTAATAAACTACCTAATGGCAATCACTAAGGTCATCATTCTTCCTATATACTCTTCCATCTATTTCTCATCAGTCTTCTTTCTGAAATATATTTAAAAATCAATATATAGTGTATGACCTTAAATAGTAAACACAAGAATAAAAATATATGGAATATTCTTAAATGAGTTAAATTCTTTTTTTTTTTTTTTCATTTTCATTTTCCCTCAAACATTCTCTTTCTACAAAAGCTGGTAAGACCTCAAGCTGTGCTCTTATTTGTAATGGTAAGTGTCATTTTGGTGGCCATGTGGCTACACAGCATGAGGTAGCTATGATGAACCCTGATGAAAAACGACAGGTGCAAAATGAGAAAAGTTTGCACACAACAAGTTTGGCTTTATAAAGGCTTCAGGTTTACCATCATCAGAGAACCTTGATCTGCTGTGGTTTAAAACAAGGAAGGGAACCACCTGTTTTGCCTCAAGCAATAGTTAAGATCAAACAAAATACGCTCTGAAACAGTAAGACATGACAAAAGAGAGTGAAAGGGTTTTTCAGCAATGGCAATAGAAGTTACTTTCTGCAAAAAGAGTTGGGTTATTACCAAGTAAAGCACAGTGGTAATAACCCAAAGGCAAATTAGAGTAAAGAAAAGCAGATATATGCAGGTGGTAGAACAATATTTGCATTTCCATAGATAAATACTTTTAAACATACAGAAAAAACAAAGGGACACAGAACTCATAGTAATGATTTGGATATTTCCTTTGGCCAACATATCTCCTCAGTTTCTAGGGCACACACTGAGATTCAAGAGAAGCCTGAAGAAGAGCATATTTATGAAATAACTATCCACAACTGACATCTACTTGTAAAGGATTAATATATTTTTCATAAACATGAGAGATATATCCATTCATAAAACTCTTTAAATCACATTGTACAACTTGGATGTGATGGTTGCTTATTCACAGGATGAAGACGCAATGACTGGAATATACAATGTAAATGATTCACACATAGGCACCACCACCTCCAAGTAAAAAAGCAATTTGTGAAAAACAAGGAAAACTCTTGTTTTTGTCGGGGCCAGAGAAGTATAGTTGATGGTAATTTGTAATCAGAAAACACAGCAAACTGCTCAATTAAAAAAATCAATCCCAAACTTCTGCCTTTTTTACAGATTCTAAACAACTATGTTAATTAGACCTAAAAAACTATAGGTATATGTGCATAATCAAATCAAGTCTTACCGAAATCTAGATCTGATGGCTTCCAACACCAACATTTAGAAAGATATCCCCAGTGCAGTCCGGGCATGGTGGCTCACGCCTATAATCCCAGCACTTTGGGAGACCAAGGCTGGTGGATCACTTGAGGTCAGGAGTTTGAGACCAGCCTGGCCAACATGGTGAAACCTCAACTTTACTAAAAATACAAAAATTAGGGCCAGGCATGGTGTTGCACGCCTGTAGTCCCAGCTACTTGGGAGGCTGAGGCAGGAGAATCACTTGAACCTGGGAGGCAGAGGTTGCAGTGATCCCAGATCGTGCCACTGCACTCCAGCCTGAGTGACCAGAGTGAGATCATGTCTCAAAAAAGAATTTATCTATCTATCTATATCGGTATCTATCTCCAATGTGAAGCAATAATCATATTCTTGTTTCATAGAAAATAAAAATCATAAAATATCTACATGAAATAAAAATGCCTATTGTCTATTTGCATGAAGTAAAATGGCAAATTAGTACTTCCAAAAATTAAATTATATTAAATGTTAATATTTTAATATAGTTTGAAAGTATAAAATAAAAACATAATTTTCTTATAATTCAATTCCTACAAGATGGCATTCTAAGTATTTGGAGGATACTTTCATTTTACTATTTTCATATGAACATGAGTTACATTCTATAAAGCAGTCATAAGAGTGCCTGGCACATCATAAAAGCTCTATAGTAATTAGTTATATAAAAACAAAATTATTTTCATAATCAGGAGGTACACAAAATGTTCTGACATGCGCTTTTTAAACTTTGCATTTTATTGTCATCATTTTTATAAAAATAATAAAAAGAAAATGTATATCATGTATACATACAAAATGATAAAAAAAATGAAAATGAGTTTCACACTAAGATTCCCTACCCTATTTAATAGACATAAACACTGTTGTGTTTTTCTGTAAATCCTTCCACAAAATACCCCTTACATACGTATTCTTATGTGTGTATGTGTATGTATACATGTGTGCATGCATATATTATACTTAGTATTTTCAAATAAATGGCTATATATTATAAGCACTGGAGTTTTACTAATCAATATGTCTTGGAAATACATTTGATTGATATATATTTGAAACTCTCTATTAAATAGTAGTAGAGTGGCCGGGTACGGTGGCTCACGCCTGTAATCCCAGCACCTTGGGAGGCCGAGGTGTGTGGATCACCTGAGGTCAGGAGTTCGAGACCAGCTTGGCCGACATGGTAAAACCTCGTCTCTACTAAAAATGCAAAAAACATAGCCGGGCATGGTGGCAGGCGCCTGTAATCCCAGCTACTCAATAGGCTGAGTCATGAGAATCGCTTGAACCGTGGAGGAGGAGTTTACAGTGAGCCAAGATTGTACCATTGCTCTCCAGTCTGGGCTACAAGAGCTAAACTCCATGTCAAAAAACAAAACAAAACAAAACAAAAAAACAAAAAGGTAATAGAAGGGAAATCATACTCTATTACTCTATAAGAGATATCATTAAAAAGATAAAAGCCCCTGCATATAACTTCATATTTATAGATCAAATACTGAATTAGCTTCTTCAGAATTCAAAAAGAAGTCTCTAATGTTTTCTATCAACATTTCTATTCAACTAGAGTAACTAAACTGTATAACAGAAAAAAAAAGAAATAGAAGTACAAAATTGGAACCCTGAAAATAAAGCTGTCATTATTTCTAAATGACATAATTGCATACGTAGAAAGCCCAAAGTACTCTAGAAAAAAAATAAGAGTGTTGATTAATAAATTTAACAAGGTTCTTGGATGCCAGTAAAATGTATTAAATCAGTTGAATCATCTACATAGTTGGCAAACTTTTCTTTAAGGAACAAGATAATATGTATTTTCACCTCTGTGGCCATTATGGCCTGTCACTACTCAACTTTGCAATTATAGTAGTCCTTTGATTTGTGTTCCATACACTGTTCCATATCACAATCTTGCTACGAGCCTCTGCTGCTCTGAACATGTGGTACCAGCATGGTACTGTGTTCCATTCACATATTTTACAACAGTCTCTACTTGACATTTAGACAGTTTTCTTTGCCTCACAATATAATTCCATCTGCAACATACATTTAGATATCCATTAAGAGTTTGGCCAACTGATAGTACTTTTTTCCACTTGCTAGTAATAATTCTGAGTTTTTTCTTGGTTTTGTGACTTTTTTTTTTTTTCCAGTAAATGTAATGGATTCTAAGCAGGTAACATATAACTGCCCTCTTGAAACAAGTAGTCCTGCCCATCAATTACTCATCAGCAGAAACACTTATGCTTACTGAAAAGAGAAACCCAGTAAGGTAGCCTCATTATTTGAGGCTGGAATAGCATAGAACAGATCCACTTAGCTTCTAAGCTTCTGCCTGATTTTGCAAGCATATTTCAAGAAAATGATCTAAGGATTTATACACTGAATAGGACTATCAACCCAGTTTTAAATAGGAATATCTAACCTTTCTTAATATTGTTGAACACTTGTAAGAAATTGATTCCAGGAGGTACAATCAACTACTACTTTATTTGCAATACTCCAGGACTCTGAAACACTAATTTCCATGCATATATATTAGTCATCTCAGGGAAAAAAATTAGGTCACCCAGAACAGGTTCTCATTTCTATCTTTATATACTATTTGACTTGACAAGAAAACATCAGCAAAAACTGTGTGAAGTATGCTAATAAACTTGGTTTCATCTTATTTAAGAGAATGACATTGAAGTAGTACTAGAAATCCATTCTGTTAATAGGCAAAAATGGAGAATTTTGATTACAAGTAAAGGCACGTAATTCATGGCCTGATAATCATTGACAACTATATTAACACATATTAGCAGTAACAGCTCAATCTAATATCTTAGATACAGAGATTTTAATAATCCACAAAAGAATACAAAGCTGAATATTTATATTTCTAGTTTTTACTAAATAGGGATGCATTCACTGGACTTTGCCTGATCCTACAGTCCCAGCCTTTTTTTTTTTCCACATAGTAGAATCCACTTACTCTTAAGTGTAGATTCAGTATGTCTACATTTCTAAGGTTAATATTCATCTCAGAAAAAAAAAAGGGAATTAAGGAGTTGTGACCTATTATTCTGAAACTTTTTCTCTTCTGTCCTTTGTAAGTCTTCAGAATGAATATTTTTGCTTAGTTCATATGACATTGTGTCCATTAGGGTCCTCAATCTTGTTGAATAACTATTGTCCCTAGTGCTAAAGACCATATTCTAGTAACTTTCATGGCACTCAATCTACCTGTATCTAGGACCTTGTTTTCTTAGCGGTCTGATCTCCAAGTGGCCCTATTTGGGAACAGAAGCCATTCTGGATACATCTATCCAAGGTCCTGAGTCCAACTATAGATCTAGGTTTTGAAATCTGACCTCTCTTTTCTCTGAAAAACAAACAAACAAACAAAACCAGAAAGTCTAATGTCAGTTCCACGCTTCAAAATAGACATTATTTGATGGTATCATAAATTAGAATAATAAACGTCTTGATCTAAATAAGCAATAAACATCTTAATTGTGATAAGATAAAAATATATCATGAAAGTAATGATAATAAAATTATTTTTAAAACCTGATGCTTATTTATATCATAATCTATCCATCCTCCTGATATAAAAAGGTATCTTTCAGAAATTATCTATTTTGTCTTACCAAGATGTAATATTACTTAAAATGCTAAATATAAGTACTTTCATTAACAATATTGATTGAGAGAAAGTCATTTATATGATCATAAACTGAATTATTAAACAATATACAAAACTTTAATTTCAATATTTTGAGGGGTGTCCGGGGACTCAAATGACAGGAGCACAATATTTCTAACTATAGGCTCTATAAATAATATATTTTATTGAAGAAAAATATATGCTTTCTTTTTTTCTGTCTACAATATTCAAATGCCAGTTGAGGATTCTCAGATGCTTTTAAATGTTTTGTAAGTAATTATGTCTCTCCTTTAGAATTGTTTATATTATTGATTTGTTCATCTTATACCTTTTTGAGTAGATGACAATAAATTTAGCTATTTTCTATCTAAATAGTAAACAATTCTTGAACTTCTAGGATGTGGATAATTAAACATATTTTGCAAATTACAACCTTCTCAGCATAATAGAGTTTCTTTAGTCTGGCACAAAGTAATTATTTAGCTTTTAGAATAGCAATTTAAAAACAATTTTAAAATAAGACACACAGTAATGATAAAGACTACTACTGCATAGTCAATTATTTAATTGAGTATAATACCTTAATTATATCGTTTTGTTTAATTTTATAATACTTATTTAGCTATGTTAGTCATTATATAATTTAATTAACCTAATTAGTATATAATTATCATGATCATCACTAAGCATAAGCAGAAGTAACTAAAGAACTGCAGACTAACATATTGTTCTGGGAGTGATAGGTCAAATTAACTATAGACCTAGAAGGTAATATGTTCACAGAAGCTTAAAGCTTTGGTAAGAGATATTCTATATTAAGATCAGCTTGTATCTTCCCCAAGTCTCCATGGAGTGTGCTGACAGTTTAGACTTAACCTCACCAATTGAGACAGCAACTGCAATTGAAACAATAGGTGCAAACCTAGGATTAAAGATTCTTCAATGGACATTAGACAGATAACACTGTTTAAAGTGGGATATCACCCAGTATTTTTCCACCTAGATTACAACAAACCTGTATACATCACCTCACACTTGAAATTATTTCATTGCTCTCCACAATATGGCTTAGGTTTTATTTTACAATTGCAATTATTGTGAGCTGTTTACTCCATTATTTCTTGCTTTTGTTCATTGTATTAATACCACTTTTAGATTATGTTTTTGCTGCTTTTAAATGTTTAATCATTTAATGTTTAAACATTTTAAATGTTATACCATCTTTTCATTCATTTTCAATTGTCTTTATTGTAATCAAAATATTTAAAGTTTAAATATTTTTCTGAGTAAAGATTTGTTCAGATTTCATATACTTAATAATTTTTTCACTTTAAAAAATATATTTTAGTTGCATGCTTTTGAACTTTCGTCTGTGACCCCAAAGTCATTGAAGAAGAAACATTTTAAATAAAATGACCTTTTCTCTTTCTTAGTTTGTCTTATTAAGTTAAATTTTAATCATTTTATATTCAGACAATGTGTTTATTTTTCCCTTTAAAATTAGTTAAGATTTAATTGTAATGTAAATGCATTAGAAAAATAATATTGTATAGTTGCTGGAATAGAAACCAGAGGAATTAACTGTGATAAAAAATCATTTATGTCAATTGTTCCCAACTCATCTTTATGGATCAATTACTGAATCAATAATAGGCTTGTAAAAAGGAAATGGTATATATTTACTGTACTGAGTAAAAAAGAAAGACGGTAGAGACATTCTATGCTGTCCTAATTTATCAATAGGTAATATGCCCACAAGAATAAAATATTCTACCTCAAGCTGGATGTGATACAAGAAGTGTGAGATATTCTTACCCAATGATTTTGACTACAGTTGGGTTCCCTATTATATGAGTGTTGTTTAAAAAGAGAGAGCTTAAGGTAAGGTAGGATTTCACCCGTCAAGCAAACAATGAATCATGGCAAAGTAGCCTACCGGTGAATTTGCTTCTTATTGACTTTATAGTCTACTTACCCACAAGCATCATCATAAGTAGGGGTCTCTGTTCATCTTTGGATGAGGAACACTTACCTTCTTCCCCAAGTTGTGTATCGGAATTCTGCTTTTAACTCTCATTAGCTTATATGTTAGTAGTTAATAGATGACTAATTATCATTAGATCAAATACTCTAATTTTCTTTGAAAGATAGCATGGCAGCGACTTGTTAGTAGTAAGGTCACCCCCCAAAAAAGAATACAAATTCCTGTTTACAGTCATAAAACAATTCTCAGAATTTTTTTATAGTATTTGACATTTTTAGGTGTTTTTAATTGTGAGGAATGAGGCTTGTCAGCTCAGCATGCCATGATGCTGAAAAATTCAGTACGTTTAAATAATTTTTCTATGACTTTAGGGCCCACCTCCAGGAAGAATGCTGGCTGTTTAGTACTCATTTCTTACCAACATTCACATTGTGTACTAGTCTATAGTGACTAACCTGTCCTATACCCTCCTCCTTGAAAGATTTATAGTTTGGAAAATTTTCACTTCAATAGTTCAAAGCTTTTAACTGTCCTCAAACTCTGACAGTTTAAAGTCAACAGAGACACACAGTTGAAATCTGTAGACCCAGGGTTCACTTCTTTAATGTGTTATCATAGTGTTCCATCTGTATAGGTTTCCCCACAAATTTCCCACTTAAAAAAGAAACAACAAACTCCTCAAAATCTCATAGCATGCATGGTTTTTCCATTTATTCACCTCTCTCATTGAATATAAATTACTGTACCCAAGGCCTATATAAGTTAGATGTCTGAAAAATTATACCTAGGGTCAAATAGAAAACAATGTGAATATGTTTTTCTGTGTGTAAAATGAAAAACGTCAAGCCAATAATAATACAGGCAAAAATAATTATGATATTTCCCCATTGCTGAAATATGACAGTGAGCTGCTTCTTTCTTTGGTCATACCATAGGAAAATGTATGGTCACATACTTTAAATCATAAACATAAGAAGACAGTATAGGATTACTTATAGGAAAAAGCTCAGAAGGTGAACACTATTTCTGTTTTCAGACTTTCCTTCCCTTCTTCCTCCCTCTCTCCCTCCCTCCCTCTCTTCCTTCCTTCTTTCCTTCCTTCCTTCCCTTCCTTCTTCCCTCCTTTCTCTCTTCTTTCTCTTTCTTTCTTTTTCTTTCTTTCATTCCTTTCTTTCTCTATCTCTCTCTGTCTCCCTCCACACTCCCTCCCTCCCTTCCTTCCTTCCATCCTGCCTTCCTTCCTTCCTTATAATTATTTTAAAGATGCCTGTATTCGAAAACCAATGAGGGAATTCAACTTGTAAGAAAGCTTAACAGAGATTTATGGGTAATCCAGTATGTACTATGCCAAGTAGCAGAAAGAAGAAGGCAGATAATACTCTATTCTTCAATGCTTTTGCAATTACCTGAGGAGATATATGTAAGTTAAAAAAAAATACATTACAGTGGGAAAAATATAGCAAAAGAAAAATTTCAAGCTGAAGTATCACTATGGAGAAGAGAATAATAAAGTGATTGAGGGCTTCACAAAAGGTATTTTCAAATAAAGTGATATTTCCTGATGATTTGGCAGAAAATATAGAAGGTTTCCAGGTTGACAGGCATACTGAAGAATATTCAGGCAGAAAAATCAGAGGTAAGGTATTGTATAATAGCCAGGTTCCTTCAGGGAAGTCTGTGTCAGTCCATCAAAAACCCGAGTGGTCTTTAGAATTAGAAACATCTGGAAATCTTTGAAAAAATATGAATGTCATTTATTTACCCCAGGCTTATCCAGCAAAACAGAATCTTTCTGGTTTTTTTTTGTTTTGTTTTGTTTTGTTTTGTTTTGTTTTGTTTTTTTCCAGAGAGAGCAGGGAGCATAGCTGGGGATCTGCATTTAAACAAATTTCTAAAATGATGATAGTAATGGTAGAAATTCATAAATGATTTCTCTAATCTAAAGGGTTACAGTACAGCGTGCAGGTGAAGGTGTAGAGATGAGCAGCAGTAGAAAGAGATAAGAGAGAAAAGGGACATGGACAATTTTTTTTTATTAAATTATCCAGCCATTTTGAGAAGGGGTATTATTTTTAGTCACCTATGACATATGGGAAGGTGAAGGTTTATAGCCGTTAGATAACTTTTATTATGCAATTAAGAAATGACATTGGGTGTAGGGGATGAGGTTTATAAGGGTTTGCTATAGTTTGAGTGTGTGTCTCACCAAAACTTATACTTCGAAACCTAGTAACCGAGGTGATGATATTAAGAAGGTGAGGTCTTTGAAAGATTATTAAGTAATGAGAGCTCTCCTTTCATCAATGGGATTAGTGTCCTTATTTTTAAAAAGGTCCCAGCGAGCTGCCTTCCCCTTCTGCAGGGTGAGGACACATCTGAGATGAGGTGCCATCTAAGAGGACCAGGCACTCACCAGATCAAATCTGCTGGTACTATGATCTTGGACACCTCAGATTTCAGAACTGTGATCAATAAACTCTGTCGTCTATAAAATATCCAGTCTAAGATATTTTGACATGGTATCCTAAACACAATAAGACAAGGTTGATGTCCTTGGTTTTAAGCATGGCAAGATTGAGATGTAATTCTCAAACCTTAAGTTTCAGGCAGAAACATTAAATATGCCTATCGAAATATATGCTAGAGGTTCGAAGAAACTACCCCTTTGAAATATATCTGGAATTGACAATATCCTTACCACCTCTACTGCTAGCATCTTAGCCAAATCACCATTGTCCTTTGTTTTCACTATTGCAATAGTTTTTAATCTGGTCAGCTTCTTTGACACTTTCCAACTCTAAGCTCCGTAGAACCACCAGGGAATTCCTTTTTATTACAAAAGCAGATCATGGTATACTTCTATTTAAAACTTGTCAGTAGACCACCAATATCACTATAAATAAAATCCAGAGTTTTAAGATAGGCTATCAGCCCCCACAAATGATCTGTCTCTCTCATCTCTATTCTCTCAAATATGTGCCTTGTCATGACCACATGTAGTGCTGCCTGATGTTCTTAAACATTCAACCCATGTTCTCCACCAGGGATCTTACATGTATTCTTCTGTTTGGAATGGTATTCCCCCAAGTAACACCAAGGTCATTCATTCACATCCTTCATTTCACTTCTGAAATGTTACTTTATCATTCCTGTCTTTCCCAAGCACCTTATAAAAAAAGAGGACACAGTCTTTGCTAGACTCAATTACCTGAATGTTTTATTTCTCTTCACAATACTTTCTCTACCTTTTGCTTACTATTTTATTGTCTGTCTTCCCCACTAAAATTTAACCTCCGTATATAGGCAGCGAATTCTGTTGTCTTTGTTCACTCCTGCATCTCAGCACTTAGCATAATGCATGGCTCATAGTATCTGGTATACAAAATGAAATAATGAAGCAAATAAATAAAAGAAATACCAGCGACTTACAATGACAGTGTAGGCTATGGATGAAAACACCCAGAAAGTTGGATGAGTGAGGAAAAAAGAAAAAAATACATGCATTGAATAGAGATTGAAATCCTGGAAGAGAGGCACATTTATATAGGACAGGCACAGAAGCTGGAAGAAAATCAGGAGAAAATAGAATGAGAGAAAGCAGAGGAGGGGAGCATTTCAGAGATGGAAGGATCAATGAGTCTAATGCCGTGAAAAACTCAGAAAGTTAATATGGACTAGAACATAGGATTGAGAGTCATTGTTATATACGTAGTATTTGATTGGAAAAGAGAGAGGCCTGTTAACTCATTTGACCACATGGCTGATTAGAGGTACACTAACATTTGTGAATACCATTCTATTTAGCAAATATTTGGATAAAAAACCCTTGACTAGAAAGTAAGAAAGAGAACATGGATCTAACTGGCTTTATCAGCAGGCTAAATCCTGAGTTATGTTTTGATTAGACTATCTTTGTGTTTGGGATCAAGATAGTGAATTTGAGTCTTAAAAGCTGTGTGAATAAATTGTTGCCTTGTCATTTCACACTATTGAACAATACAAAGAAATAGAAACTGTTCATATGTCTTTTGGTGAACGAAATAAAAATCACATGGGACAATGGAGATAAAAAGGGTTTCTCTCACAGGTTTTTCTGTAACCTGTTTCAGACCATTGATACCCATCGTGATTTTCATCTCTATGTTCCTTTTGTATGTAACATCAATGTGTCACTTCTCTCCTCAAGAAATATCTATGCATCCTAAAAATCAAAACATATTCTACGAATGATTTTTCCTGTTTTGCTATTAAGTTGTTTAATATATTGCATTGAATATAATTCAAAAAATGAGTTTTACAAAGTAAATACAGACAAGCTCCAATCATGTTTTATTTTTCATTTTTTGGTCACATTTCTATCTATATGTGCTACCATTCTCATTTCCTTCCCCCAAAGCACACTAAGATTTTTTGTTGTTATTTACTTCAGAGTAGTAACATTATGTATTTGGAGATGGATATAGAAGAATAAAACACCAGAGAAAATTTTAAAATTTTATTTTGCTTGGAATTGGTATTTGCCCAGTATAACAACTCAACATATTAATACAGAGGCTAGGGTTTGAAGGTATTCCCCAAACAGCATGTGTTGGAAACCTAATTTCCAACGCAGTAGTGTTGAGAGGCGGGATCTATAAAGAGGTGCCTGGGTAATGGGGGGGTTGCCCTTTGAATAAATTAATGTCATTGTCATGGGAATGGGTTTCTTATTCTGAGAGTGAGTAGCTTTTTATAAAGGCAAGGTTGGCCTCCTCTTGCTTTTTCTCACGTGTGTTCTCTTATCCTTCCACCTTCCATTATGGGATAATGCAGCAAGAAGGCCTTCACAAGACACAGTTTCTCAATTTTGGACTTCCCAGTCTCCAAAATTATAAGCCAAATAATTTTATTTTCCTTAGAAATTATCCAGCTTGCAGTATTCTGTTATCAAAGCATAAAATGGACCAAAACAGAAAAATGGTACCAAGAAATTTGGTCATTGCTATAACAAATACCTGAAAATGTGGAAGCAGCTTTAGAACTGGGTACTGAGTAGGGGCTGGAAGAATTTAGAGGAGCAGGCTAGAAAAAGCTTAGATTGTAATGCATGGGGCATTAAGGATGACTGGTGAGGGCACAGAAGAAGAAACGGAATGTAAAGAAAGTCAGAAATTGCTTAGGGATTATTTGAGTAGTTGTGATCAGAATGTTGGTAGAAATATAAACAATAAATGTCATTCCGATGATGTCTTAGATGGAAATAAAGATAAAGATTTTGTAAAGTGAAATAAAGACCATGCTAGTTACATAGTTGCAGCGAACTTGGCAGAATTGTGTCCATGTCTTAGGGCTTTGTGAAAGCCAGAAGGTAAGAATGATGAATTAGGATACCTGGCAGAAGAAATATCTAAGAACCAAAGTATTCGAGGTTCCACATAACTTCTTTTGACAGCTTACAGTAAAATGAGAAAACAGATAGATGATTTGCAGACAGAATTTGTAATTAAAAGGGAAATAGAATCAAAACCCTTGAAAAACTCTCAGCCTGGTCATGTAAAGAATAAAAAGCCTCAGGAAATCGAGACCATCCTAGCTAACACGGTGAAACCCCGTCTCTACTAAAAATACAAAAATTAGCCCGGCATAGTGGCGGGCGCCTGTAGTCCCAGCTACTCGGGAGGCTGAGGCAGGAGAATGGCGTGAACCCGGGAGGCGGAGCTTGCAGTGAGCCGAGATTGCACCACTGCACTCCAGCCTGGGCGACAGAGTGAGACTCTGTCTCAAAGAAAAAAAAAAAAAAAAAAGAATAAAAAGTCATGATCAGGAAAGAATAGTAAGGGTGTGGCCAATGAACTGCTAAGGAGATTAAAATGGATAAAAGATAGCTTGGTCCTATTCATTAAAACAAAGAAAGAATAACCGTGAAGTCATTTCAGTAAATCTAGAACATTGAGGGCAAGGTTTCCAGAGAGGTGTCCACAGGAACTTAGAATTTGCTGCCCTGCACTGCCTTAGGACTCTGCTCCTAGAATTCTGGTGCAGTACTCCTTGGTCACTCAAGCTATGGTCTAGAGGTCTCAAACCACTACTCCAGAAGGTGTGGCTTGGACTACTGGTCTAGCAGGTACAATCTGTAAACCTTAGCAGTGTCATAATGGTGCTAATTCTGCAAGTACACAGAATGCAAGAGCTGTGGGCTAATGGTCGTCTCCACCTAGATTTCAAAGAATGTTTTTGAAGCCTTGGGGCCCAGGTGAGACTTGTCTCAGGGTTGAAGCCATCATAGAGATGCCTCACTAAAGTAATGCCCCACAGGATCACAAGAGCAAGATGTTAGATATGAGTCCTAAATTTCTTTTCAAAG
Organism: Homo sapiens; assembly: GCF_000001405.40. Lineage (NCBI taxonomy): Eukaryota > Metazoa > Chordata > Mammalia > Primates > Hominidae > Homo > Homo sapiens. The sequence goes on from NC_000009.12 coordinate 31,272,910, forward strand.
AATCAGTATGTTCAATTCTTTGCCTTCTACTTTTAAATTTAACTTCCTCATAAAGCAACCTTTTTTGATTACCTGCTCCACCCTGACTCATTTCAATCACCAGCTCCACCCTGACTCATTCCAATCACCTGCTCCACCCTGACTCATTCCAATCATCTGCTCCACCCTGACTCATTCCAATCACCTGCTCCACCCTGACTCATTCCAATTACCTGCTCTATCATAACCACTCACCCTGTCACTCTCTTTAAATTAGCCAGTGGGAATCAGTTTAACCTGTGCGGTCTAACCCTAGCCAATAGGGGAACGACACAGCAGCAAGGGCCACATGTATCAAGGATAAGAACCCCTTCTCCCTTGTCCAAGTGTGTGCTCACCATTGCTCCATCTGTAAGGGGGCACCCTTCTATAGAAGTAACTTGCCTTGCTGAGGACTAAAAAGAAAATTTTATATTCGAGTGCTATTTCTTTTGTGGCACCAAAACTTTATTTATGACAATTACCACTGCAGAGTCCTCACAGCTAATACCTAGCAGGGCCATGGGAGTGGGGGATCCCCTGGCACCCCCAAACTGTAGGATCTCCAGCATACAACTCTAGCCTGGAAGAGCTGCAAACATAAGACTCCAGCCGTCCAGAGCTACTGGATAGACTGAGCCCAATGAAACCATAAGGGCAGGGCTGCCTGAAGCCTTAGTGGTCCAACCCCCACCCCAGTGTTCATGGAACCTGGAATATGGAGCCAAAGGAAATTATTCTCCAGCTTTAAACACTTACTATTGTTTTTCCTCTTGGATTTTGGACTTCCTTGGGAACAGCCACCCTTTTCTTCTTTCCTATTTCTCTCTTTTGTGATGTGATTGTCTTTCCTATGCCTGTTCCATCATTGTATTTTAGAAGTAATTTGTTTACTTTCGCAGGCATACAGCTGAAGAGAAATTTGCCGCAGATGAATTATGCCTTGTGTCTCACGTAAACATGATTTAGATGAGAATTTGAAATTTAGACTTTTGAGTTGGTGCTGGGACAAGTTAAGATTTGGGGGCTGTTGGGATGGAATAATAATTTTTTCACGAAAAAATATACATTAATACATCTATTTGGGGATGGAATGCTATAAGGTGTCTCCCGAAAGTTAAGTGTTGGCAACTTTATTCCCAATGCAACAGTTTTGAAAAGTGGGATCTTTAAGAGGTGATTAGGTCATGAGGGCTCTTCACTTATAAAAAAATTAATGTTGACATCTTGAGAGTGGGTTTATTACCGTGGAAGAGGGTTTGTTATCATGAGAGTGGATTTGTTATGAAGGCAAGTCTAGCCCCCTCTTTGTTTTGACTGCTCACATTCTCTTGCCTTTTACCTTCTGCCATGGGATGATGCAGCAAGAAGGTACTCACTAGATGTAACCCCTCAACCTTGGACTTTCTAGTTCCAGAACCATGAGTCAAATGGATTTATTTCCATTATAAATTAGCCAATATGTTGTATTCTGATACGGTAGCATTAAAAAGAATAAAACAACAGAAAATATTGTTTCTAGTTTAAAATGCTTTCCAATGACATTCCTTGAAGTCACGGGATTTTGTCATGGGAACTTAAAAGTTATCTCTATTGACACCAATGCAGATAAGATTTCAAAGAACTCCTTTCAAGTAGAAATTAAATCAATTGGAAGAACCTTATCTTTCAGTATGTTAAGATGTTTCAAAAGCCTTATAAATAATAAATAGGATGTTAATTTAAAATTTAAAATAATAAGTTTTTGTACAAACACAAAAACTGAAAATCTTTCAGTTTAATTCTTCTTTGAGAGAACTCAACTCAATCACTCACTGTGAGATTACTAAGATTACTACTTTGACTAATGGTTATTAAGGCAAAGGGAGCTATGAATTAGAAATGCCACATATACTTCAGTTCCAATGAAGGATATTAGAGAGAGGAAACATAACATTAATAGTATTTGTGGACAAATTGAGTTCTGCCTTTTATTTATTTTACTCATTTTGTATATATTTTTCTAACTGCTCATGTACTCTGTTATGTATTGTTGTTTGTGCAAAAAATAATTTAAAAATGTATTAGAACAAAAGAAAAATGCAAAAATAGCCATAGAGATAAGTGTAAGACTATGAAAAGATATTATATTACTAATATCTCAAATAAGTTGAGGCCAAATATCTATATATTGAGGACAAAAATACAATACTAGTGGTAATAAACAACTAGCCTGATTATAAAATAGATGATAAAAAGTCATTAGCCTAACTTCAGTTTTCAGAGCCAGGAATTTGAGTGATTGAGATGTAAGTCTCAAATTTCAAGGTTTATTGAGCCAGCTTGAGGGCACACCCTTAAAAAACAAGAATCACAGGTGGATCTGTGGGTTGGTTTTTGTTTTGTTTTGTTTTGTTTGTTTGTTTTCCCAAAGAGGTTCTCAGGATGTTTAGGTATTGCACATTTTCCTTAAAAAGGTGGGGAGTGGGGGAACAGCAGTGAGAGGAATTATTACACACCTGTGAGATGTTAATCAGTGCCCAGTAAATCTACACTTTAAATAAGATAAAGTGAACATTTGAAGAAAAAGGGAAGAAACAGGTGTCTTAGAGAGGAGCAAAGGAATGATTAATCTCGTCTTTGTTAAGTACCTGAGAAGACAAACTAGCAATCCACATTATCAACATGATCAGTGTGGAGTCCTTTGAAAGTGCTGATTTCTTTTTAGCCCTTAGGGAAGAAAGCCTAATGACAGTAAGGGAGGAGGTGGAATGAGTGTCAGAACTATGAAAGCATGGCATTGAACTCATTCCAAAGTTTCTCTGGGATTCCTTGGCCAAGAGGGGATCTGTTCAGTTAGGTTAATGCTCAGAATTTTATTTTTATGTGTGGGTGTGTCCACAACATTTACCCTAAGGGGGTTTTAAAGTGAGAGTGATCATTTTTGTCTCTAACAAAAGACTGAAGGTAAACTGCTTTTCATTGTTGACAAAGGCTAGATTCATAAAATTTAAAGATTAAATGAGCAAATATTATAGCTGACAACTTTCTGACAGTTACAGAAACTGAGCAGAAATTTTTGTCCTTTTTCCCCATGAGTTGAAGAAATATGCCCAGTGAAGACCTGAGGTTTCCTTGAAATTAAAATGGTAGTTCATTCAACACGTGAGAGAATTCATAAGAACTCCCCAAAGTTGTTTCCTGGAATCATGATTAATATAATTTTTATCAAAAAGTGCTTAAATCTTCTTTGATTAAATATTCATCATAGTTACGGGGTAAGAGTCCCAGCAATTTTTACATGAAGTTTCTGGATTGGACCATAAAAAGTATGCTGAGTGAAGATCTTTTACAAGCTTAATATTTAATAGAATTAGACAAATAGAATGAGTTCCATAAAGTACAATTAAATTAAAGGGAATTTAGAGGAAAAGCTTCTAGGTCCGTGTACAATTCACAAAAAGTATATTTGAAGTGGTCTCTAAGGAATGGGTAAATTTATCAGCAGATAAAGACAGGATAGTTTTATATGACAGAAAAGGAAATAGTGTGAGTTCAGGAAAGTCTAGGGTAAAGTAAAATTAAGCCATGTGCTTAAGGAGGTACATTTGAGCCACACATGGAAAGCTTTGATTTCAAGGCTGAGGAGTTTATAGTATTGAGGTCAATTAGTAAATACATCAATTTTATTCGAACTCTTTCTCTACTAAAAATACAAAAACTAGCCGGGCGTGTTGGCGGGTGCCTGTAGTCCCAGTTACTCTGGAGGCTGAGACAGAAGAATCGCTTGAACCTGGGAGGCAGAGGTTGCAGTGAGCAGAGATGGCACCACTGCACTCCAGCCTGGGCGACAGCACGAGACTCTGTCTCAAAAAAAAAAAAAAAAAAAAAATTCTCTCACTCTTAAGTATACTTTATTTTCTTTTGTTTTCATTATAAAGATATAGATATATATATATATGCCATTTTAATCACTTTAAGTGCACAATATCATGCCATTAATTAATACATATTTTGTATAACCATCATCACTTTTTCCAAAATTTTTTATTACCTCAAACAGAAACTGCATATGCATTAAGCAATAACTCCCCCTTTTCCTTTCCTAGCCTCTGGTAACATTTAATCTACTGTATCTCTCTATGAATTTTCCTATTTTACATATTTACATATTTTCCTATTTACATATTTCATATAAATAAAATTATACAATATCACAGCCTATATCAGAATTTCATTCCCTTTTAATGATAATAATATTCTGTGTATATGTATGTGTGTGTGTGCATATATATACACATATATATACATATATATTCACATTTAAGGGAATCTCCATTAGAGTAAATGACGATTTCTTTGCAGAAAACTTACAGGCCAAGAGAGAATGCTATGATATATTTATATTTATATATTAAATATTTAATATTAAAAATATTTAAATATTTAAAATGCTGGGGGGAAAACTGCCAGCCAAGGATTATACAAAGAAAAGTTATTCTTCATAAACGAAGGAGAAATAAAATTTTTCCCAGACAAGCAAAAGCTAGGGGAATTCGTTACCACTAAACTAACTCTACAAGAAATGCCTAAGGGAGTTCTACAAGTGGAAGCAAAAGGATGATATCTACTGTCATGAAAACAAATAAAAGTACACAGTCACTGGTAGAGTAAACATGCAAATGAAGAAGAGAAAAAACTTCAATATTACCACTACAGAAAGGTATCAAACTGCAATAATAATAATCAGAGAGAAAGACAGGAACAAAGAACATAAAAAACTATAATCAATTAATAAATTACAGGAATAAGCCTTCACATATTAATAATAAATTACATGTAAATGGATTAAACTTTCCACTTAAAATATCTATAGTGACTAAATAAATTTTTTAAATTGCCCAACTATATGCTGCCTACAAAAAAAATCTCACTTGGAAAGAAACACAGACTGAACATAAAGGTATGAAAAAAATACTTCATACAAGCTGAAAAAAAAGTAAGCAGGGGTAGTTATATCAGACAAACTGACGTTAAGTCAACAACAGTTAAAAGTCAAAGAAGATCATTATATTATATTAATAAGGGGATCAATTTAGCAAGAGGATATAACAATTCTAAATATACATGCACCCAATACCAGAGCACCCAGATATATAAAGCAAATATTATCAGATGTAAAAGAATAGATATTTGGAAGGCTGAGGCAGGAGGATCACCTGAGCCCAGGAGTTCGAGACCAGCATCAGCAACATAGTGAGACCACAGTTCTAAAAAAAATTTAATTTAATTTAATTTTAAAAAAGAGATAGAATTCAATCCAATAATAGTTGGGAACTTCAACACCCCAGTCTCAGCATTAGACAGATCATATAGACAGAAAATTAGCAATGAATCATTATATTTAAACTGCACCTTACACTAAGTGGACCTAACAGACATTTATGAACATTTCATCCAGTAGCTACAGATTATACATTCTACTCATCAGAACATGGATACTCAAGGATAAACTATATGTTAGGACAAAAAACAAGTCTCAACATATTTGTAAAAATTGATGTCATATCAAATATCTTCTCAAACCACAATGGAATAAAACTAGAAATAAAAAACAAGTGGAACTTTGGAAACAGTAGCAATACATGGAAATTTAAAAATATGCTCCTGAATGACCATTGGGCTAAGAAAGAAAGAAAGAAGAAAACTTTCAAAAAATCTTGAAACAAATGAAAATAGAAATACAACATACTCAAACCTCTGGGATACAACAAAAGCAGTGCTAAGCAGAAAGTTTATAGCAATAAATGCCTAATCAAAAAAGGAGGTGGTTTTCAAATAAACAAACTAATGATGAATCTTAAAGAAAAAAAAAAACCAAGAACAATGCAAACCCCAAAACAGAAGAAAAAATAATAACGTTCAGAGCAGCACTAAATAAAATGGAGACTAAAAAATCAAAAAGATAAACAATGTGACAAGTTGTTTTTTTAATAAGAAACAAAATTGATAAACCACCACTTCTTACACTGTCTTCCTGTTTTCCTTTAGGTTCCTTTAACTGTTGAGCATATTTAAGCCAATTGATTTAAAGTCTTTGTGTATTAAATCCAGTGTCTGGGTCTCCTCAGGAATAGTCTTAATTTCCTTTTTTTCGAAGGAATCATATGCCACTGTTTGTGTACATGATTTGAATTATTTTTGAAAAGAGATGTTTGAAAAATATCATGTAGGAACTCTGGAAATCAGATTCTCCCTTTCCTTAACATTTCCTGTGCTTGAACTTTGTGTGTGTGTGTGTGTGTGTGTGTGTTTTCCAAACTGTTTTTATAAAGACTGCATTTCTTATTATTTGTGGTTATTGAAGTCCCTTTTCATTTAGCTCATGATAACCAATGATTTGACAGAGATTTCCATGAATTCCAAGCATTTCAGCCAACAGTGAAGCCGAGTATCTCCTCAGACCTTTTCTGAACATGAGTCCTGTCCAGAGCATGTATGTGGCTTTCTAAATTTCCTAGTATTTACAGGCACTTTTAAATGTCTTAACTTCCCAAAGGAATTCTCTCCCCTGCTTTTTCTCCCAGTTTTTAGGTCGTCTATTTTGTTTCAACTGTAATTTTTTACCCCAAGTGGCTGAGAGATTTTTATTCACCATAAAATGTTTCAAAACATTGCCCACCAGTTTTCCAACCTGATTGATTGGGTTCTGAGTTACACAAAACAGATGAGCACATTTTGTCAGTCGTTCAGGCAGCATCAAGACAGGTTCGAATAAGCACACACAATAATTTGTAAATAAGATCTGCTACATTTCCTCTGGATCAGACATCCACACTGATAACATGGGCTATTGTTCTCAAGACTATCACCAAGTCAGAGAGGAATTGGGAGAATATCAAGTAAAAATGTCACAGAACTTTATTTTCATTTTTATGTTGTCCTTTTTCAATTCAGTGTTTGCTTGGTTGCTGCAAAGCTTTGAATGTGTTCCAGAGTTCTAATAAAGTTCCTTCTCATACTTTCTGTTTGGTTTTCAATGCTTCTGTGGTAGAGATATTTTCTGAAGTTGGCTACTCTGCCCTTGTGCTGATGTCACTCTCTTAAGTCTATTTTGTAATCATAATAAGAGCAAAAATTGCTGAAAAAGATAAATGAGAAAATTTCCTAATGAAGCCATGTTGCCTATGTATTAAGCAATGTTCAATAATAGAGCCCCTATTTTGTTTTTATTTTGGTTTTTTTGGTACCAAAAAAAGATAACTAAGAACAAAAAAGATGAGAAACACAGAGACAAGATACTAATCACAAGTTGCTGGTCAACTTGATGTTAATTATTTCCCTATTATTAATAGGAAAACATTGCCCACCAATTTTCCAACTTAATTGATTGGGTTCTCTGTTATTATTATTGTTATTATTATTATTATTATTATTATTATTATTATTATTAGGGAAATGATTTAAAGGCAAACACAACTCCAAAGACTCAGAATTTTAAAACATTAATATGATTCAGAGACTTTGCAGAATTGAAATATTTAAATAATTTAGAATAATCACTACTTAGCTAAGAGACTAACTTAAGCTAAGAGACCTAACTAACAAATACACTGGCTATTACATTCCCACCTACAAAAGATCCTTCTGGTGTAATTTTAAATGTTTGATTGTGAATATCAAGTGTTGTGTCACTCACTTTTCAAAAAGGTCATTGTGAGGATTCGGTGGATCTCTTGTGGAGTAGAGTAACCACAGACTTTGATATGCATGGAATATCTAGATCACTGATCACCACTCAACTTTAAATTATGACGATCCGTTACCCTGAAATTTCTTTCTTTCTCTTCATGCAGTCACATTTGAGATGCAATAGTTTCGGTACCCTGGCTTATACAATTGTTAAATAATCCTATTTTTCTCAGTGACATAGCATAAAAGTGGATGTGAATTGGTTTAAGAAATCTTATTTTTCAAGACAAGGTCAGCGCATGTAAAGAGTGATCATATTAATTTCAAATTGTTCTTAAAGCAAAGATGAGGATGTAATATTCCATGGGGGCCTTCTTCATATGAAAACTTTTTTATTAAGCCACTTATTAAGAGATCTAAAAGAAGGTTCATATGTGATTCTTTGAATTCTATGTGTCATATGAATAGCCAAAAGTCTAATTAAAGCCATTCAAAAATAAATGTAATATATTTATGTACACATATCTTTTCTTTTAGCCAATTTCTGCTCAGGATTTTTCAATATAAGTATTATGGGGATTATAGGTGACCCAATTTTTATTGTATAGAATTATTCTAGGCATTACAAGAAGTTTGGTATCTCTGGCCCCTGCCTATATAAAATGACAGTAGTAAACACCTGCCTCATAACAGTTTGCTTCACCCTGGCTCTGGCACTGGGACAACCCGAACAATTCTAGTACATTTCCAGTCTTCCCCCTCGTGAAAAGTACTAATGGCTTGACTTTAAATGTGCAATAATTGCTGCTCTTTTTCTCTCTTTCTGTCTCTCCACCTCCCTTCTTAAAATTTATTTATCAGCTCCACCCATATCTATCACTTAATTGAACCTTTATTATTGTTCACAAATTATGAAATCTATTTTAAAAGAAACAGATTGTGAGGATTTACTATGTGTTAGACATTTGGACTGAAAAATGTCTGTTCTACATAGACTCTCAGATTGCTAAGAAACAAATAATTAGCATATCTTATTGCTCTATATTGATAAGATATAAAATTATGCCTATTTAAAAAGTGGTCAAAATTATTGGTTGATATTTATTTTATTGAGTCCTGTTTAGAAATTTGCAAAAGGAAATTAATGTCTGTGTAAATATAATTACTCCTTTTCTCTGTGTATGCTTGTGTGTGTGTACAAACAAACGTTTTAACCAGTGTTCAGATATGTGTTATCACTTAGCTGTTGCTTCATAATAAATCATCTTAAAGCTTATTGGTCAGCTACATGGTTCTTCTTATTTGTATTGATTTCAACTGACCTTTCTCATAATTGTGTAATCAGCTGGCTGGTCAGTTGGTGCTGGCAAGTATAGGATGGTCTTAACACCTGTTCGGTAGTGGGCTGTGTGTTTACTATGGCAACAGCAATTACAGGGCAGCACTTCTTTCATCATTCATCAGTATAGCATAAGCTAGTTGTAACAAGTTTCCCAAAAAGGGATGAAACAAGCAAATGTTCTTAAGGGGTAAATTCAGAATGAAAATATAATAAAGTCCTTTAAATTATATTGGCAAAAGTAAGTTACAAGGTCAGCCCAAATTCAAGAATTGGAAAAACAGATTTTGTCTCTTAATGAGAGGAAATGCAAAATTGCATTAGAAGGTTGGTGGACTTAGAACTAGATGAAGAATTTTATCTTTTTGCAATCCATATGCTACATTATGGTTTTTGCTTATTTTGGTCCAGAAAGCCTTATGGGTAGAAAAATAAATGTACCTTGGATGATACTGATTAGGTTCCAACATCTAGTGTCCTTCTAAACTGAGGGTATTGCTGTTTGTTATAAGGATGATGAAATTAAAGTTCCTTAACTTCACTGTACATTCTAATATTTTTCTATACAGAAAAAGTAAATTGCATTACAGTAGACAACTTGAAATTTTCTGGAAGGCATATGAGTACTTTTCCAATTTCTAAATTAGTAAGGCTCAGATTAGCACATAAAACAAATTTCAGAGTAACTTTTGCACCCTAACATGCCATTTCCAATGTACATAGCTCATAAGAAAAAATAATTTTCATTATTTCACATGTAAATTTATCAAAAATGTACATGTATCACTAGGATAAAATGCGTCATAAGGGCCAACAAAAATATATTGGGGTCAGATACCATTACATCTTTAAGTAAGTTCCAAGGCTAAATGAGATATTCTGAAATATTAAGATTTCTTCCAACATTAATGATCATCACCTTTAAGCCATGTCAGCAGTTGGAGTAGTCAATAAGAAGGAAACTAAAAAGAATATATTATTAAAATTAATGATTGTCAAAGGGGGTAGGTTCTAAGATGATGGATAGGGGACATTGGAATTTGGAGGAGGACTTCTTGTTCACCTTAAACCAATTGAGATGAGTTTTAGAAATCTTATTGGAAATATGTATTTCTTAGACTTTTATGAAAGAAAATAGACTAGATAGAGAAAAAGAGAATCCCAACACCCAAGTGCAGATTTTTAAACCTGAAATAATGGTGAACTATAACAGGGGCAAAGCTTTAGCCTTAAAAAAATTCAGAAACGTGATTATTTTTATTGTTTAAGCTAGATACCTTACTTTCTTAAATGAGACTGTTCTTTTGACTAAAGTAATGTATTATTGAGAAAGCTTTGTAATGTGCCTGTGTTTTATACAGCGGGGAACAAATAACATTGAAAGAGGATTTGAAGAAACTATGGGAGATTAGGAAAACAAAATTGCTTTATGTTTTTATTATAACAATTATAGTTCATTTAATAAAAATGGTCAATTTTTCACAATGACACATGACTTTTTTTTTGTTTTTTTTATTTTTCTGTGACTTTTTTTTGTTTTTTTATTTTTCTGTGACTTTTTTTTTTAATCACAGCTGAATGTTGGGTTCTGTTATGGACATAATTTTGTCTTCCTTAAATTCATTGGTTAAAGCCCAAACCCTTAATGTGACTGTATTTGGAGAAAGGGGCTTTTAAGGAGGACATTAAGGTTAACTGAGATCATAAGGAGAGGGCACTAATTCAATAAGGACAGTGTCCTTATAAAAAGAGGAAGACCCCAGAGATTTCTCTCTTTCCACACACCCACAGAGTAGAGGCTGTGTATAAACATAGGGAGAAGTTGCCATCTACTAGCTGAAGAGAGAAGACTCACCAGAGACCAACCCTAATGTCACCATGATCTTTGACTTCTAATCTTCACATCTGTGAGAAGATACGTGTTTGCTATTTAAGACACTCTGTCTATGGTATTTTGTTATGGCAACCCAAGAAAACTAATACAGATTCCTTTTTGGGTCTATATTTTATGGATAAAGTTATTTTCTTTTATATCATATCATAGAAAGGATTTTAAGGGCACGGTTGATTTGATTAGTTGGATATTATGTGTTAACTAAGTCGTCATAATAAGTAAATTACTTCTACACAAAATTCTAGTCACTCTGGGCAGGCAGGGTGGTTCATGGTTGTAATCTCAGCACTTTGGAAGCCCAAAGCAGAATGACACTTAAGCACAGGAGTTCAACGTTAAAGTGACTTATGATCACACGACTACACTCCAGCTAGGGTGACAGAGAAAGACCTAATTTCTATAAAAAAATAAAATAACTAAAACTCTAGTTATGCAGATGATTTAATATTTAGGTGAAAATGAGAGACAGAGGGAGAAAGATAGAGACAGCACTATGTATCAAGCTGTCACATAGCTTTATAGATATTTGCAAACATTACGTGAATGTTAAATATCAAAGTATTAATGATCCACTGTATCTGACATACTGATGTATATTTAGCAATTAAGTTAATTTCTGTTTCTTTGTTTTTACATAATTACAAATGATTTAATGTCAGAATTTCCTGAGGATTTTTCCTAATCAACATGGTTTAAATTTATCTCAGTATCTCAATATTTACTTGAGAAGATGTTCATTGAGACACCAATTAAAATTGATGCTCTATCTGCCTGTATATTCTAACTGCCAGATGTTTACATTGCTGAAATTTCCCAGTAGTACAATATAGTCTAAAACGCCTGGAGAATTTTTTAAAGAGGTTTAAATTCCATTGTAAAGCTATTATGAATAAAATTGAAAAGTAACCAATACTCAATCTTATCGTTTCTTTCCTTCATTATGTATGAAATAAATATTTACTAGTTAGATAAATCATCTGGTAAAACTATACTCATATTTATTACATTTTGCTATTATTTCCCCAATAACTATGGAAAATCATTTTGACATCTGTTGGATGTTTAGGAATTTGTGTGTGAAAGGCCATGTAGAATATCTCAAATAATGCACAATTCTTTTGTATCACATATAATGTCTATATAGTTTCTCTTTGCATATTGGCAATTCAAAATTTTTTACGTCAGACAACAACAGAAGTTTCTGAAAAATTGCAGAAAATTACCTCTTATGTTAACTATATGATAAAGTCTGTAATAATATTTGATTCTTATACTATTCTTCTGGATCAGTGAGGCTGACTACATAATTTGTCACCTTCGTCTAACAATGACTATTAATTTTCACTAGTCTAGAGTGCTATGATGTTATACGCCACTGCCAATACTATAAAATATCCCACACTGGTGATTTATACAAAATACATGTGGATTTATTCCTTATTTAATTTAGTACGGTGTTTAGTCCCACGTCTAAATATATTCCTAAATCACCATTACCCCATTACCTCAACTGCTCCTGTCTCTTAAATCAACCTCCCCCACCAAATCTACCATTATACATTATAATAAAACTAAGACAAATATTCCACTTTGCTTCATTGACAAAATTGGTTTGACTTTATTGTGAATTGAAGGAATTGAGCCAATTACAAAATTATTTTTATTTGTATATATGAAGATTCATGATTATTTATTCATAACCTCTAGAACATTAAGAAGTGAATGAAATATGAGTTATCATGAATTCTCAGAACACTCGTTTTCTAACTTTCCCAAATAATAAAATTAAAGCTATTATATATTCTGCAAGAGGTAATTTAGAATGTTATAAAATATTAATTTCCTCACTGATTTGAACATTTTAAATATCAGAATTACTAATTTAATATTTATGAAAACATTTTAAATTCTGAGATAAGAATATACATATATAAAGAAATATGACTTTGAACATAGTTAATCTAATATTAGTTTCCTTTTTTATAGATGACAAAACTGAACCTTAGAGAATTTATCAGTTTCTTATTTTAGTACAACAGCAAGTTAAAATTTGAAATAGTGATGTTGAGTATAAAATTACCTCAATCTCTAGTTATGTGCATATAAATATATATATATATAATATTTTTCTCAATGAAGTATATTTTCAATAAAGAACAATATATTTATCCCTTTAAAGCATAAATTTAATCATGGAACTCTATGCTCAAAAGTTTCCAATGGGCCAGGTGCAGTGGCTCATGCCTGTAATCCAGCACGTTGGGAGGCCGAGGCAGGCAGATCACAAGGTCAGGAGTTCGAGATCAGCCTGGCCAACATAGTAAAACCTCATCTCTACTAAAAATACAAAAATTAACTGGGTGTGGTGGCGGGCACCTGTAGTCCCCGCTACTCGGGAGGCTGAGGCAGGAGAATCGCTTGAACCCAGGAGGTGGAGATTGCAGTGAGCCGAGATCGCGCCACTGCACTCCAGCCTGGCAACAGAGATGGACTCCATCTCAAAAAAGGTTAAATAAAATAAAATAAAATAAAAAGTTTCAAATGCAATGGAGGGACTGTTACAGTTCTGTCAGTCATTTTTACCCATTCTCATGCTGAGATTTGAGAATAAAACCATACAAGATATTTTTAATCAAAATAAATATTGAATGAGTCATAGAATATCAAGGGAATTTAGAGTTCTAGGGAAATGATGTGAAAGGACAACTCAAAAGGATGATTCTAACATTTGGAGTCACTCTATGAAGCCACATATAGATTCCAGAAGAGACTGATAAGACATTAAAAAACCTAAGTGAAACTTTTGATTTATAAACTCATATGGATAAAATTAAATTTCAAGTCCCACTAAGAAGTGGTATTTCAGGTAAAACTTCCAGGTTTTGCATTGTTTCCCTGAGGAAAGAAACTCTAGGAACAAGAGTCAACTGAAAAATTCTAAGCCCTCAGGTGACCTGAAGAAAACTTCTAATAAAATAAAAATGACATGAAAATATTTTCTCTGGCCTAGTTTCTCGCAAATTGTAAACAAAACAATTACTCATCTGAAGATGGAAAAATTATCCAGATCTTTTAAGTTATTCTATAATTTTTAATATACAATGTCTGCCATATATATCAAAAACAACCAGTCAAAAACAGGTACAAAAGGCAACAATATGAACAAAATCCAACAAAAACCGAAGACATTAGAAATGGAGCTAGAGAAGATCCAGATAATGATGTTATCAGACATAAGCAAAAACAAAACAAAAACCTCCCATATTTAATATTTTCAAATAAGATAGAAGATAAAGAATTTCAATAAACAATGGGAACTATTAACTAGCAATATGTAAATTAGAGAAACAAAACATGTAATAACTGAATTTAGGAATTTTATTGATGGTTTTAACAGCAGATTATACAAAGCTGAGGTAATAATTAGTGAATTGGAGTATAAAATATAAAAAATAGACATAAACCTACAAAATAAAAAGTGAAATACATGTGTATGTGTCTTCATAGTAGAATGTTTATTGCAGCACTATTCACAATAGCAAAGACTTGGAACCAACCCAAATGACCATCAATGATAGGCTGGATAAAGAAAATGTGGCACATATATACCAGGGAATACTATGCAACCATAAAAAAGGATGAGTTCATGTGCTTTGCAGGGATATGGACGAAGCTGGAAACCATCATTCTCAGCAAACTAGCACAGGAACAGAAAACCAAACACCACAGGTTCTCCCTCATAAGTGAGAGTTGAACGATAAGAACACATGGACGCAGGGAGGGGAACATCACACACTGGGGCCTGTCAGGAGGTGGGGATCTAGGGGAGGGATAGCATTAGGAGAAATACCTAATATAGATGATGGGTTGATGGGTGCAGCAAACTACCATGGCACATGTATATCTATGAAACTAACCTGCACATTCTGCACATTTATCCCAGAAGTTAAAGTACACATACTTAAAAAAAGTGAAATACATACATTATCAGAGGAAACAAAAGAAAATCTGTGCAATTGTCAAAAGCAGACAGAACATTAAAAACATATTCAAATATATTCTTCAGGATAAAGAAAATGGCATTTGGAGTTTCAGAAAATAAGCAAATAAAGGACAAATACGTGAATAAATCTGAATGTAAACAATATAACTGTAAAACAACAATGATAATAATTTTATTATGAAAATAGACTGTATAAAACAGTGATGTTATGAATATAGAATGTCTAAATGTTTCAACTGTTTAAAAAACCATATGGTGTATGTAATGAATCTATAAATAGCAATACTTATATTGATAAGACAACACTATAAAAGTCACAAAAAGGGAAAGTGGATTTAATTGTCCTAAGGATTATGAATTGTGTGGGAAATGATTAAAGTTCTAATTAATATTAGACATCAAGATGTAAGGGATCTATGACAAAATTTATAGAAAATTTACTAAAATAAAAGTTGATAATGTATAACTATTAAGCTAATAGATGGTAATAAACTGAATTAAAAATAACACCAATCAAGTCAAAAAAAAAGAAGAGAAAAAATGTAACAGAACAGGCAAGACAAACAGAAAGCAAGAAATAATATGATAGGTTAAAAAACAAACACACAAACATATCCCAGGAGACTTTCCTCTTTTCTGTCCCCATGTACAGGAATGCAGGGTGTGCTGAAGTCCAAATCTCAACAGAAAGAGGTAGAGAAGCCATAGAAGAAATCAGGCTCCTAAACTGACCATGAAGCAGCAGTTGCCTGATAGTGGGGAACGGAAAATAATTTATATACAGTATATCCATTTGGTGCAGGTCTGTTGGTCCTTTTAGGAGGCTAACAGCAGGGCAGGAAGACCAGTACAACAGCTCCATGCTCTTAGATTCCATAAATGCTAAAAGGAGGCTTGCAATCCTGTCCTCAAATTATTCCAAGATGATACCAAATTGAATCTAAATAAAGCAACAGAAATGTCCAGATCAGTGGAAAGAAAGATGAAGCTGACTCAAATCACCTATTCCCAATACACCACGGGCCTGAAAGAAGACGTAAGTATTTTTTGTGGGGGAAAAAAAAATTATTTATTTCAGTCAATGTTTTTGTCATGCAACGTCTGCCATTCAGTCACAAAGTAAGAGACGTGAAGAAGTGAGAAACTAGAACTCACTGACAAGAGAGGTACCAGAAAACAAACAAACTCATAAATGGCTCAGATGTTTGAAGGGTCAATGAGGGAATTTAAGTCTAATACATAGGTTAGATGAACTTGGGGGAAAGGCAGATAATATGGGTTAAGAGATGGAAATTTTCAGTCTAGAGATGGAAATTTTTTAATGGAAACATGAGAAATAAAAAATGAGATAACATAAATGAAAAATTAATTATTGACTTAGCAGACTGGACTCATAACCAAAAGAAATTATGAGTCAACAGCAATTATTCAAACTAAAACACAAATTAGAAAAAAAAAAGAAGAAAGGGAAATGGCATACAGGTTCTGTGAAATATCAAACACTTAATAATATGTGTAATTAGAGTTCCAAAAGGAGAAGAGACAGAATAAAGCAGAAGAAATTGTTGAAGATACAATAGCCATAGATATTTCTAAAGCAAAGAAAGACATCAACCCACAGGTCTACAAAGCTTAGCAATAACTTTTCATGCTTATCCTATAAAACTTCATCATGAATTTTTTTACTTTTTATTATATAATATTAATTAGTACTTTCATACTTCCCATATAATTTATGAACTTACCTCACTTATATCTAGTTATTCATCCTGATGCATGTAGTATTTTTAATAACATTATTATTGTTTTATAAAGTGAATATTCATAACATAATTGCATACAGTTATATTTTATATAGTCATATTTTATAGTCAATATTCATAAGATTATTTTATAAAATCAATAATCATAATGTTATCTTATGGATTTAATATTAAATTTAGATCTTCCCACATATATGCCTTTTTCTTATTATTCATTTCTTCCTGAAATTCTGAATAATTAGAATAAAGTTTCTTCATTCTGGAAAGTAGCTTTTGTACTCCTTTCAGTGTTGATCTGCTTTTGATAATCTTACAGATTTTTTTGCTTGTTTTCCAATAATATTTTTATTTTTAGAGTGTGTTGCTCTCCATTATATGTTGGCATATTGAAGCTACTATTACAAGAAGTGACAATAGAATCTAGTAGTTAGTAATGTTTATTATTATTAACAACATTCGTTGTACTTGAATTTGTTTTATCAGGAAATTTGGTGCCTTGGTTTCCCCCAAATCACTTCCTTACTGATTTATTTTGTCTTCCTTTTCAAACATGTGCTTTGTTTTTACTGTGTTCAACAACACATAGTATAAAACTTACCATCTTGATTTTTCAGAAACAAGATGGCCAACTACACACAGCTAGGAAGCACTGCTCCCACTGAGAGAGACCATGGAATAAATCGACTTACTCTAAACAGAACTTGGAGGGAAAACACAGAGAGGTGACACAGACATCCAGGAAAAAGAGGGAAAGCTAGGAAGTTTGCACAGGGTTGCTGAATGACAAGGCTTATTCCGGCCACTGAAGGGCTCCCAGGGAAGGGGTGAGTGAAAGGATGGTGGGGCAGACCACTCTAGTGGCAGACCTCTTGGATCCTAGCTACAAGAGATCCCATGAGCCTCATACACAGTTGAAATAGCAGGTATATCTGCTCAGACAATAGGCAGACAGAGCTCCAACCTGTATGGATCCCATGGGGTTTTGCATGCAGGACAGCTGCCGTGGAATGCTGCCATAGGTGCCTATTCCCCAAGGCTCCTCATCTTCCCCCGAGTTGCTCTAACCCAAACTGACCACAAAACCAAGAGAGAACAGGGTTGACTTTCAAAAAGAACTGGGGCATATCTGTTCTGCAGGCTCTCCTGCTGGCTAGCCTCTCCTAGGGTCCCTTCCTGGCCACTCCTGCAGGAATGTGTACAGACTGCAGCCCCCATTGTCCAGCCTTGGTGCTTTCTGGGAGCCCCACCTAAGTACTTCCCGGTGGCCTGGGAACACATCCAATCCCCAGTGCAACTGGTACACAACCCCAAGGAGCTGGAGGATGAAGCCACTGGTGGGTCCCAATGCCCCAGGGCAGCAACTTGCAGTTCAGGAGTGCTGAGCAGAGATCTGTGGCTAGAAGTTGATCAGAGGAGGAGCCCCGACTCTCAGAACACCGAGAGGGGTGACACAGGTGGACTTATGGGCCAGTGCAGGAGCTAGTGAGCTTGTGGACCTTCCTGTACAGGGCTGGTCTAGGAAGAGTGTGGCCTGTATGCCAGCCGTAGCCTCTGCCAGAGGGAGTTCCATGGCCCAAAACCCATAACAAAGAAAATGTGGGTGTAGCGCCAGTGATCAGGGGTGGCTCTCCAAGGCCCATGAAGGGACCTAGTGAGAGAATTCTCTCTCTCTCCTCTATCACCACAGAGCACTGCTGCAAATGTGCTAAAATACAAAAGAGCTATGTGGCTGAGTAAGGGCGCATCTGCTAGCCATTACTCTAAGGCACCACCTAACAGTTTATCTCCTGGCTCTCAGTCCAAATTATAACACAAAAGTATTTTGCCAATATACATCACCTGTGAAACCCACGACAAGAATGTAGCCACCACAAAGATCCTGTACAAAGTCATGACCCTCTCAAAACACCCAGAAATAAAAGCCAATTGACTGTACTCAATTTACACCCCAGTTAAAGGAACACTAAACCTCTCATATCAGAAAATCAGCACAAGAAATCTAGAAATTCAGAAAGTCAGACTGTTCCCTTACCTTCAAACAAGCACACTAGCTCCCCAACAATGGTTTCAAACCAGATTGAAATGGTTAAAATTACAGACAGAGAATTTAGAATCTGAATGGCAAGGAAGCTCATTGAGATTCAGAATGTTGAAACCCAATACAAGGAATCCAGTAAAATAATTCAAGATCTGAAAGATAAAATAGCCATTTTAAGAAAGAACAGAATAATTTCTGGCATGGAAAAATTCACTATAAGAATTTTATTTTACTGAAATTGGATGTATTAATAGCAGAATAGACCATCCTGAGGAAAGAATATCCAAGCTCAAAGACCAGTTTTTTGGGTCAATTTAGTGAGACAAAAATTTTAAGAAGAATTTTAAAAAATAAACAAAACATCCAAAAATATGGGATTATGTAAAGAGAATAAACCTATGACTCATTGGCATTCTTGAGAAAGACAGAGAATAAGCAACTAAGAAAATATATTTGAGGATACAGTCCATGAAGATTTTCCCAATATCACTAGAGGTTGACATGCAAATTCAACAAATACAGAAAACCACTGTGAGATGATACCATAGCAGGTGACCATCTGTAAGGCACATAGTCATCAGCTACACATAGGTCAATGCAAAGAAAAAAAATCTAAAGGCAGCTAGAGTGAAAGGGTAGGTCACTTACAAAGGGAACCCTATCAGGCTAACAGTGGACCTCCCAGCAGAAACTATACAAGCCAGAAAACATTGAAGGCCCATTTTCAGCAACCTTAAAGAAAATATATTCCAACCAAGAATTTTGTATCCCACCAAACTAAGCTTCATAAGTGAAGGAGAGATCAAATTATTTTCAAACAAACAAATGCTAATGGAATTCCTTACCACTAGACCAGCCTTAAACATGGACATAAAACAACAATAACTTCTACCACAAAAGCACACATAAACACATAGTCCACAGACACTATGAAGCAACTACACAATCAAGTCTGCAAAACAACCAGCTAACAAGATGATGACACGTTCAAAATGTCACATATCAATACTAACTGTGAATGTAAACAGTATAAAAGCCCCACCTAAAAGGCACAGAGTGGCATGTTGGATAAAAAGATAAGAGCCAACTGTCTGCCATCTTTAAAAGACCCATCTCACGTGTACTGACACCCACCCACACAAAGAAAAAGGATCTATCATGCAAATGGAAAACAGAAAAGAGCAGGAGTTGCAGTTGCTATGAGATAAAAGAGGCTTTAAACCAAAAACAATCAAGAAAAATAAGAAGGGCATTACATAATAAATACAGGGTTCAATTCAACAAGAATACTTAACTAACCTTATACTATATGCACCCAACCTTGGAGCACCCAGATTCATAAATCAAGTTCTTTACCTTACGAAAACTTAGACAGCTACTATTACATTTGAGATTAGGTTAAGAAAAAGCAAAATAACTAAAACAGCTACACAATAATTGTGGGAGACTTCAAAACCCCACTGACAGCTTTAGACAGATTATCAAGGCAAAAAACTAATGAAGAAATTCTGGACTTAAACTCAACACTTGGCCAATCTGACCTAACAGACATCTACAGAATACTCAACCCAATAACCACAAAATAAACATTCTTCTCATCTGCACAAGGAATATGTTTTAATATCAATCACATGCTCAGTTATAGAAAGTCTCAATAAATTCAAAAAAGGTGAAATCATATCAGGCACATTTTTGCACCACAGTGCAAAAAAAAAAAAAAAAAAAAAAAGAGTAGAAACCAATACATCTTTCCAAACAATGCAAATACATAGAAATTAAACAAACTGCTCCTGAATAACTCTTGGGTGAACAAGAAAATTAAGGCAGAAATAAAAAAAATTTGAAATTAATGAAAATATAGACACAATTCTCCAAAATGTTTGGGATGCAGCTAAAGAAGTATTTAGGTAAAAATTTATAGCTCTCAACATCTTCATCAAGAAGTTATAAAGATTGCCAATTAACAATATAACATCACACCTAAAGAAACTAGAAACAAACAAATAAACCAATTCCAAAACTGAGAAGAAAAGAAATAGATAAAATCAGAGAAGAGCTGACCAAAATACTGACAAAATAAATCTATGCCAAAGATCAGTGAAACCAAGAGTTGGTTCTTCAAAAGAATAAACAAAGATTAATAACCAACTCATTAGATTAACAAAGAAAAAAGGGAAGATCCAAATAAGTACAATCAAACATGAAAAAGATGACATTATGATTCTTCCCACAGAAATACAAAAGATCCTCAGAGACAATTATGACCACTTCTATGCACACAAGGAAGAAAATCTAGAGGAAATTGATACATTCCTGGAAACATGCAATCTTTCAACAACGATCTAGGATGATAATGAAAACCTGAATAAACCAATAACCTCTTCTAAAATTGAATCAGTAATTTAAAACATCTAACATTGAAAAAAAGTTGGGGGAGGAGCCAAGATGGCCAAATAGGAACAGCTCCAGTCTACAGCTCCCAGCGTGAGCGACGCAGAAGACGGGTGATTTCTGCATTTCCATCTGAGGTACCAGGTTCATCTCACTAGGGAGTGCCAGACAGTGGGCGCAGGTCAGTGGGTGCACGCACCGTGTGCGAGCCCAAGCAGGGCGAGGCATTGCCTCACTTGGGAAGCACAAGGGGTCAGGGAGTTCCCTTTCCGAGTCAAAGAAAGGGGTGAAGGACGCACCTGGAAAATCGGGTCACTCCCACCCGAATATTGCGCTTTTCGGACCAGCTTAAAAAACGGCGCACCAAGAGATTATATCCCGCACCTGGCTCGGAGGGTCCTACGCCCACGGAGTCTCGCTGATTGCTAGCACAGCAGTCTGAGATCAAACTGCAAGGCGGCAGCGAGGCTGGGGGAGGGGCGCCCGCCATTGCCCAGGCTTGCTTAGGTAAACAAAGCAGCCAGGAAGCTCGAACTGGGTGGAGCCCACCACAGCTCAAGGAGGCCTGCCTGCCTCTGTAGGCTCCACCTCTGGGGGCAGGGCACAGACAAACAAAAAGACAGCAGTAACCTCTGCAGACTTAAATGTCCCTGTCTGACAGCTTTGAAGAGAGCTGTGGTTCTCCCAGCACACAGCTGGAGATCTGAGAATGGGCAGACTGCTTCCTCAAGTGGGTCCCTGACCCCTGACCCCCGAGCAGCTAACTGAGAGGCACCCCCCAGCAGGGGCACACTGACACCTCACACAGCAGGGTATTTCAAAAGACCTGCAGCTGAGGGTGCTGTCTGTTAGAAGGAAAACTAACAAACAGAAAGGACATCCACACCAAAAACCCATCTGTACATCACCATCATCAAAGACCAAAAGTACATAAAACCACAAAGATGGGGAAAAAACAGAACAGAAAAACTGGAAACTCTAAAACACAGAGCGCCTCTCCTCCTCCAAAGGAACGCAATTCCTCACCAGCAGTGGAACAAAGCTGGATGGAGAATGACTTTGACGAGCTGAGAGAAGAAGACTTCAGACGATCAAATTACTCTGAGCTACGGGAGGACATTCAAACCAAAGGCAAAGAAGTTGAAAACTTTGAAAAAACTTTAGAAGAATGTATAACTAGAATAACCAATACAGAGAAGTGCTTAAAGGAGCTGATGGAGCTGAAAACCAAGGCTCGAGAACTACCTGAAGAATGCAGAAGCCTCAGGAGCCGATGCGATCAACTGGAAGAAAGGGTATCAGCAATGGAAGATGAAATGAATAAAATGAATCGAGACGGGAAGTTTAGAGAAAAAAGAATGAAAAGAAATGAGCAAAGCCTCCAAGAAATATGGGACTATGTGAAAAGACCAAATCTATGTGTGATTGGTGTACCTGAAAGTGATGGGGAGAATGGAACCAAGTTGGAAAACACTCTGCAGGATATTATCCAGGAGAACTTCCCCAATCTAGCAAGGCAGGCCAACGTTCAGATTCAGGAAATACAGAGAACGCCACAAAGATACTCCTCGAGAAGAGCAACTCCAAGACACATAATTGTCAGATTCACCAACGTTGAAATGAAGGAAAAAATGTTAAGGGCAGCCAGAGAGAAAGGTCGGGTTACCCACAAAGGGAAGCCCATCAGACTAACAGCGGATCTCTCAGCAGAAACACTACAAGCCAGAAGAGAGTGGGGGCCAATATTCAACATTCTTAAAGAAAAGAATTTTCAACCCAGAATTTCATATCCAGCCAAACTAAGCTTCATAAGTGAAGGAGAAATAAAATACTTTACAGACAAGCAAATGCTGAAAGATTTTGTCACCACCAGGCCTGCCCTAAAAGAGCTCCTGAAGGAAGCACTACACATGGAAAGGAACAACCAGTACCAGCCGCTGCAAAATCATGCCAAAATGTAAAGACCATCGAGACTAGGAAGAAACTGCATCAACTAACGAGCAAAATCACCAGCTAACATCATAATGACAGGATCAAATTCACACATAACAATATTAACTTTAAATGTAAATGGACTAAATGCTCCAATTAAAACACACAGACTGGCAAACTGGATAAAGAGTCAAGACCCATCAGTGTGCTGTATTCAGGAAACCCATCTCACATGCAGAGACACACATAGGCTCAAAATAAAAGGATGAAGGAAGATCTACCAAGCAAATGGAAAACAAAAAAAGGCAGGGGTTGCAATCCTAGTCTCTGATAAAACAGACTTTAAACCAACAAAGAACAAAAGAGACAAAGAAGGCCATTACATAATGGTAAAGGGATCAATTCAACAAGAAGAGCTAACTATCCTAAATATATATGCACCCAATACAGGAGCACCCAGATTCATAAAGCAAGTCCTGAGTGACCTACAAAGAGACTTAGACCCCCACACATTAATAATGGGAGACTTTAACACCCCACTGTCAACATTAGACAGATCAACGAGACAGAAAGTCAACAAGGATACCCAGGAATTGAACTCAGCTCTGCACCAAGCGGACCTAATAGACATCTACAGAACTCTCCACCCCAAATCAACAGAATATACATTTTTTTCACCACCACACCACACCTATTCCAAAATTGACCACATACTTGGAAGTAAAGCTCTCCTCAGCAAATGTAAAAGAACAGAGATTATAACAAACTATCCCTCAGACCACAGTGCAATCAAACTAGAACTCAGGATTAAGAATCTCACTCAAAACCGCTCAACTACATGGAAACTGAACAACCTGCTCCTGAATGACTACTGGGTACATAACGAAATGAAGGCAGAAATAAAGATGTTCTTTGAAACCAACGAGAACAAAGACACAACATACCAGAATCTCTGGGACGCATTCAAAGCAGTGTGTAGAGGGAAATTTATAGCACTAAATGCCCACAAGAGAAAGCAGGAAAGATCCAAAATTGACATCCTAACATCACAATTAAAAGAACTAGAAAAGCAAGAGCAAACACATTCAAAAGCTAGCAGAAGGCAAGAAATAACTAAAATCAGAGCAGAACTGAAGGAAATAGAGACACAAAAAACCCTTCAAAAAATTAATGAATCCAGGAGCTGGTTTTTTGAAAAGATCAACAAAATTGATAGACTGCTAGCAAGACTAATAAAGAAGAAAAGAGAGAAGAATCAAATAGACACAATAAAAAATGATAAAGGGGATATCACCACCGATCCCACAGAAATACAAACTACCATCAGAGAATACTACAAACACCTCTACGCAAATAAACTAGAAAATCTAGAAGAAATGGATAAATTCCTTGACACATACACTCTCCCAAGACTAAACCAGGAAGAAGCTGAATCTCTGAATAGACCAATAACAGGAGCTGAAATTGTGGTAATAATCAATAGTTTACCAACCAAAAAGAGTCCAGGACCAGATGGATTCACAGCCGAATTCTACCAGAGGTACAAGGAGGAACTGGTACCATTCCTTCTGAAACTATTCCAATCAATAGAAAAAGAGGGAATCCTCCCTAACTCATTTTAGGAGGCCAGCATCATTCTGATACCAAAGCCGGGAAGAGACACAACCAAAAAAGAGAATTTTAGACCAATATCCTTGATGAACATTGATGGCAAAAATCCTCAATAAAATACTGGCAAAATGAATCCAGCAGCACATCAAAAAGCTTATCCACCATGATCAAGTGGGCTTCATCCCTGGGATGCAAGGCTGGTTCAATATATGCAAATCAATAAATGTAATCCAGCATATAAACAGAGCCAAAGACAAAAACCACATGATTATCTCAATAGATGCAGAAAAGGCCTTTGACAAAATTCAACAACCCTTCATGCTAAAAACTCTCAATAAATTAGGTATTGATGGGACATATTTCAAAATAATAAGAGCTATCTATGACAAACCCACAGCCAATATCATACTGAATGGGCAAAAACTGGAAGCATTCCCTTTGAAAACTGGCACAAGACAGGGATGCCCTCTCTCACCACTCCTATTCAACATAGTGTTGGAAGATCTGGCCAGGGCAATTAGGCAGGAGAAGGAAATAAAGGGTATTCAATTAGGAAAAGAGGAAGTCAAATTGTCCCTGTTTGCAGATGACATGATTGTATATCTAGAAAACCCCACTGTCTCAGCCCAAAATCTCCTTAAGCTGATAAGCAACTTCAGCAAAGTCTCAGGATACAAAATCAATGTACAAAAATCACAAGCATTCTTATACACCAACAACAGACAAACAGAGAGCCAAATCATGACTGAACTCCCATTCACAATTGCTTCAAAGAGAATAAAATACCTAGGAATCCAACTTACAAGGGATGTGAAGGACCTCTTCAAGGAGAACTACAAACCACTGCTCAAGGAAATAAAAGAGGATACAAAGAAATGGAAGAACATTCCATGCTCATGGGTAGGAAGAATCAATATCGTGAAAATGGCCATACTGCCCAAGGTAATTTATAGATTCAATGCCATCCCCATCAAGCTACCAATGACTTTCTTCACAGAATTGGAAAAAACTACTTTAAAGTTCATATGGAACCAAAAAAGAGCCCGCATCGCCAAGGTAATCCTAAGCCAAAAGAACAAAACTGGAGGCATCACACTACCTGACTTCAAACTATACTACAAGGCTACAGTAACCAAAACAGCATGGTACTGGTACCAAAACAGAGATATAGATCAATGGAACAGAACAGAGCCCTCAGAAATAATGCCACATATCTACAACTATCTGATCTTTGACAAACCTGAGAAAAACAAGCAATGGGGAAAGGATTCCCTATTTAATAAATGGTGCTGGGAAAACTGGCTAACCATATGTAGAAAGCTGAAACTGGATCCCTTCCTTACACCTTATACAAAAATCAATTCAAGATGGACTAAAGATTTAAACGTTAGACCTAAAACCATAAAAACCCTGGAAGAAAACCTAGGCATTACCATTCAGGACATAGGCATGGGCAAGGACTTCATGTCCAAAACACCAAAAGCAATGGCAACAAAAGCCAAGATTGACAAATGGGATCTAATTAAACTAAAGAGCTTCTGCACAGCAAAAGAAACTACCATCAGAGTGAACAGGCAACCTACAAAATGGGAGAAAATTTTCACAACCTACTCATCTGACAAAGGGCTAATATCCAGAATCTACAATGAACTCCAACAAATTTACAAGAAAAAAACAAACAACCCCATCAAAAAGTGGGCGAAGGACATGAACAGACACTTCTCAAAAGAAGACATTTATGCAGCCAAAAAACACATGAAAAAATGCTCATCATCACTGGCCATCAGAGAAATGCAAATCAAAACCACAATGAGATACCATCTCACACCAGTTAGAATGGCAATCATTAAAAAGTCAGGAAACAACAGGTGCTGGAGAGGATGTGGAGAAATAGGAACACTTTTACACTGTTGGTGGGACTGTAAACTAGTTCAACCATTGTGGAAGTCAGTGTGGCGATTCCTCAGGGATCTAGAACTGGAAATACCATTTGACCCAGCCATCCCTTTACTGGGTATATACCCAAAGGACTATAAATCATGCTGCTATAAAGACACATGCACACGTATGTTTATTGCGGCATTATTCACAATAGCAAAGACTTGGAACCAACCCAAATGTCCAACAATGATAGACTGGATTAAGAAAATGTGGCACATATACACCATGGAATACTATGCAGCCATAAAAAATGATGAGTTCATGTCCTTTGTAGGGACATGGATGAAATTGGAAATCATCATTCTCAGTAAACTATCGCAAGAACAAAAAACCAAACACCACATATTCTCACTCATAGGTGGGAATTGAACAATGAGATCACATGGACACAGGAAGGGGAATATCACACTCTGGGGACTGTGGTGCGGTGGGGGTAGGGGGGAGGGATAGCATTGGGAGATATACCTAATGCTAGATGACGAGTTAGTGGGTGCAGCGCACTAGCATGGCACATGTATACATATGTAACTAACCTGCACAATGTGCACATGTACCCTAAAACTTAAAGTATAATAAAAAAATAAAATAAAATAAAATAAAAAAATAAAATAAATAAAATAAAAAAGTAAATAGAGTAGAAAATATTCATTTCAGAAATTAAGTGTAAGTATTGTTTCATAATTTTTAAAATTAGTTATGTACACATATATGTATGTGTGTGCTGGGCCATAATATAAAATGTATGTCTTAATGTAGAATAAAAATGTTTGACAGCTTAAAAAAAAATTAAAAGTATGTAAGCTTATTAGAAATATTTTAAACTACCTATAGGTATATATGTATGTAACTGAACTATCAAATGCAAGTAAGATCATTTCCTTAGCGTGTGAAATCCACTCAATTTATTAAAATATTTTCTAATATCTAAAAAAAAAATTAAAAGCATATAAGGTTATTAGAAATATTTTAAACTACCTATAGGTATATATGTATGTAATGGAACTATCAAATGCAAGTAAGATCATTTCCTTAGCGTGTGAAATCCACTCAATTTATTAAAATATTTTCTAATATCTAAAAAAAAAAAAAAAAAAAAAAAAGAAAAAAAAGAAAAAAAGTCCTGGACTAGATGGATTCACAGCAGAATTCTACCAGACATACAAAGAAGAACTGGTACTAATTATAGTGACATTTTTCCAAAAAGTAGAGGTAGGGAGGCTACTCCTTAGCTAATTCTATGAGGCCAGCATAAGCCTGATACTACACCTGGTAGAGAAACAATGAGAAAAGAAAACAACAGGGCAATATTGCTTATGAACATCAACTCAAAAATCTTCAGCAAAATACAAGGGAATGGAATCTAGCAAAACCTCAAAAAGTTAATTCACCACAATCGAGTAGAGTTTATTCCTGGGATTTGAGATTGGTTTGATATATGGAAATCAATAAATGTGATTAACCACATAAACAGAATTTAAAACAAAAATCATATGATCATCTCGATAAGCACGAAAAAGCATTTGATAATATCCAACATCCCTTTATGATAAAAAACCCTCAACAGGCTAGGCATCAGAGGAACATACCTCAAAATAGTAAGATACATCTATGACAATCCCACGGCTAATATCACGTTGAATGTGCAAAAGCTGGAAGCTTTTCACCTGAGAACTAAACAAAACAATGATACCCACTCTTACCACTCCTATTCAACATAGTACTGGAAGTTCTAAGTAGAGCAATCAGGCAATAGAAATAAACAAAAGGCATCCAAATAATAATTTTAAAAATAATTCAAACTATCTCTCTTTTCTGACAATAGAATTCTATACCTAGAAAACCCTAAAGACTCTGCCAAATGGTTCCTAGAACTGATAAATGACTTCTGGAAAGTTTCGGGATACAGAATAAATATGCAAAAATCAGTAGCATTTCTATACATCAATAACATTCTACTTGAGAGCCAAATTGAGAACACAATCCCATTTACAATAGCCACAAAAAAATATGAAATACCTTAGAATACAGCTAACCAAGGAGGTGAAAGATCTCTAGAAAGAGAACTACAAAACATGACTTAAAAAAATGAGAGAAGACACAAATAAATGGAAAAACATTACATGCTCATGGTTTGGAAGAATCAGTATTTTTAAAATGACCATATTGCCCAAAGCAATCTATAGATTCAACACTATTTCTATAAAATTACCAACATCCTTTTTCAAAAAATTTTAAAAAATGCTAAAATTTATATGGAACCAGAAAAGAGCCTTAATAACCAAAGCAGTCCTAAGCAAAAAGAACAAAACCAGAGGCATTACACTACCTGACTTCAAACTATACTATAAGGCTAGCGTAACCAAAACAGCATGGTACTGGAAAAAAAAAAAAAAAAGAAAAAAAAGACACATAGATCAGTAGAACAGGTTAGAGAGCCCAGAAATTAAGCCACACACTTACAGCCATCTGATCTTCAACAAAGCTGACAAAAACAAGCCATAGGGAAAAGACATGTTTAGTCAATAAATGGTACTTAGATAGCTGGCTAGCCATATGCAGAAGAAAGAAACAGGACCCCTACCTTTCACTTACAAAAAAATAACTTGAGGTGGATTAAACAATTAAATGTAAGACCTCGAACTATGAAAATATTAGAAGAAAACCTCAGAAATATCCTTCTCAATTTTGACTTAGTAAAGAATTTATGGCAGAGTCCCTAAAAGCAATTCCAGTAAAAATAAAACCTGACAGGTGGGAACTAATTTAAACTAAAGGGCTTCTGCAAAGCAAAATAACAACCAGCAGAGTAAACAGACAACCTCCAGTATAGGAGGAAATATTCACAAACAATGTATCCAATGAAGGTCTAATATCCAGAAACTATAAGGAACTTAAATCAACAAGAAAAAAAAAAACATTAGAAAAAGGGCAAAGGACATGAACACTTTTCAAAAGAAAACATATGAGCATCCAGCAAGCACATTAAAAAATGGTCAACATCAGTAATCATTAGAGAAATAAAAATTAAAACCACAATGGGTTACCATCTCACACCAGTCAGAATGGCTGTTTTTAAAAAGTTAAAAAATAACAGCACTATTCACAATAGCAAAGACATGGAATCAACCTAGGTTCCCATCAATGGTGGATTAAATAAAGAAAACTTGGTACATATACACCATGGAACACTACAGAGCCATAATAAAGCACAAAAAATGTCCTTGCAGTAACGGGGTTGCAGCTGGAGACCATTATCCTAAGTGAATTATCATGGGGACAGAACACCAAATGCCACATGTTGTCACTTTTAGGTGAGAACTAAACACATGTACATAAAGACAGGAACAATAGAAATCTGGTACTCATAGAAGATGGGGGGAGTCATGGGCTGAAAAACTCTCTACCTGGTACTATGCTCACTAGCTGGATGACAGAATCACGAAATAAATCATATTCCAAACCTCAGCATCTTGAAACATACCCATGTAAAAAATCTTCAATTGTATGCCCTGAATTTAAAATAAAATAATAATTTTTTAAAACTTATGATCTTAACCATTTTAAAGATGCATAGTGTTATTAACTATATGCACATTTTGTGCAACGGATCTCTAGAACTTTTTTATTTTGCAGAACTAAAACTCTGTGCCCACTTTTTTTTTTTTTTTTGCCTTCTCCTTGTCCATGGTAATAACCATTCTACTTTCAGTTTCTCAGAATTTGACTACTTTAGATACTTCGAGAAGGGGAATCCTGTAGTTGTGTTTTTGTGACTAGTTTATTCCTCCTAGCATATTCTACAACACAAAGTTCATGCTGGCTGTAGGACATGATAAGATTTTCTTCATTTTAACCCTGAATAATCATCTGTTGTATGTATATACATTTCCTTTTTCCATCCATCTGCTGATGGACATTAAGGTTTCCTTTACATCTTGACTATTGTGAATCATATTATAATAAACATGAGTGAGTAAATATCTCTTCAATATCCTGTTTTCAACACTTTTGAATATATAACCAGAAGTGGGATTACTGGATATGGTAACTCTATTTTTTGAGGCATCCCCAAAGTGTTTTTTATAAGTGGCTCTACCAATTGGTATTACCACCCAAAATATACAACTGTTCCAGTTACTTCACATCCTCTTAACACTTGCTATTTTCTGTTTACCTGATTGTGGCCACTCTAACAGATGTGAGGTGATACTTGTGGTATTGATTTGCATTTTCCTGATGATTAGTGATGTTGAGCATATTTCCATATTCTTGTCTGTGTGTGATTTCTCTGATTTCTTGACTTTCTAATGCATTTATATATTTACACATCCATAAAACAACCTCAGATATTTGTCCAAATTATTAGCTGCCTCTTCAATTGTGTGTGTGTGTGTGTGTGTGTGTGTGTGTGTGTGTGCGCGCGACCAGACTTTTTTAGGAGCTGAATCTTTCTCTTTGGTGCCCTCTGGTGAATTTTTTTTTTAAGTTAATCTTTAGTTGCCACCACCAAGGCACATGTAGTAACAAATCTACAGAACTAATTGCTTTATTTTCTTAGGCATAACCAAGTATGTAAATTTTTTAGCACTGTCTACGAATCATTTATCTCTCATGTTCAGCTCTGCCGTGAGGTGTGAAATTATGTCTATTTCCACGTCTGTAAGGCAATAGATCATGATGGTTCCTGTTTATCAGCTTCCCTGGATTCCTGTGAAAGAGTTATCACAATGATATATTTTTTTAAAGTTTTGTGTAAACCCTATAGTAATTTACCCATCAAGTAACAGTCTAAGGCAGTAAGTCTTTGTTTCTTTCAAAAACCAGTAATCTCTTGTTGGTCTTTTGAAGACAACTTCACCAGAACAATTTGTTCTAGTAATAACACAATAATTTTCAAATCTGTTTGCCAGGTAGTGGCAGTATTAATATACCACACGTCTTTTTGTGGCCAGGGTTTCTAATTTCTTTCCATTACCTAAAGTTATTTTTTCCCTTTTATTTCCTATTACTTTTTAAAAGTTGTACAGAATAGTTATTAAGACAACTTCTCTTAATTTTCATGGATTATAGCCTTGTAACTGCAGTTACCTCAAAGCACTGTGCTTTGAAACGAAAGTGCACGTGATATTTACTTGGGAATAAGCTCATCTTGAAGCTATAGTCTATGTGACTTAATGGGAAAAGAATCTGCAAAATATGAGGCAACCTTGGAATTACACCCAGAAACTGCCATGTGTTAACTGTGTGACTCAGAGAAAATTAATTTCCTGATTTATAAAATGAGGATATTCCTGTCGTAGCAGTTTACTGTAATTGACTAAGATAACACATCAAATTCTGGATATGTACAGTACTTGACAGTAACAATTATTAGGCTGACTCAGGCTGTCTTTCTGGTTCTGTCTCTTATTACTGTATCCTCAGATCCAAGTCAATCTCTGTGAGGCTGTTTCTTAAGTACAGAAAATAGGGACACTTGGCCATTCAATCCCACTCAGTTGATACATAAATCAAATTACATAAAAATACATGAAATTAGTTTATAAACTTAGATGATCATCATGATAATGATAAAGAAATAATATTTCCAGAATAATTGCCGGTAGGCAATTCTCTGCTGTGTTTATTTGAATGAAGCTGTTATATAGTTATATTATAATTAGCATTAGCAGAATGATTTCAAGTGCAAATTACCACAATTAATATTTATTTTTATATTATTGACAAAGGCCAATATAATAGTAGCTAAGAGTTTACTTAATCAGACAAAAAGAAAAATACTCTGAAGCAAATGTCTCTTTAATCAATTGGCAATTTCGAAGTTAAATTACAGCATAATTAAGAAGCTATATAATAAAAGTGTATAATAAAATTATTGTTAGTAAAGAT
Organism: Homo sapiens; assembly: GCF_000001405.40. Classification (NCBI taxonomy): domain Eukaryota; kingdom Metazoa; phylum Chordata; class Mammalia; order Primates; family Hominidae; genus Homo; species Homo sapiens. Next base: position 31,305,400 of record NC_000009.12, read on the forward strand.
TAAGTACAAAGTAGATGGAATTTGTAAAATCTCACATTTTTTAGGATAATCTGAATAATGTCATGTACATAAATGTCTCACTTCACCCTGATAGATCCAGAATAAAATGTATTAATATGACTTTCTCACATGCCTCAAGTTAAATGTTTATAAGAACATGCTTTAAAATATGTGGAAACATAAAATTATAAGTCCCTTGTTTCATAATTATTTGTTATAAATTATAATTAAATAGAGGTACAACTGCCAGTAGTTATCAGTTATAAAACTGAAAAAGAATAGCAAATAAATGATCTAATTTCTTTAGGAGACATGTCTTGAGTACAATTTACATCCTCTTAGGCAAAGAACAAAAGAAAAACATACATACACATTAGCCAAGATTTATATGCTGTTTCTTTATGTCAAAAACTTTAAATTTATTTTTATCTAAAGTATTTTTCTGAGGATTAAGAGCTTTCTTGTAATATTGAAAATGTTGTGTTAGGTTAAAACTTGAGAATACAGTAAATTTATTAGGGGGATGCACGTTGCTTAAAATATTAGAAAACTAATTGTCTGATGGTACATATTAAAATAAGTATTGCCTGAAACTTTTGGCCTGGTAATGCAATCTACACTGTTGATAAATTAGACTAACAGTATGTAATGATATTAGTAAGTTTAAGGGTATTTACCAAAGCATTGTGTTTAACAGTAAACATAAAACAAAAAGAACACTATTTGTATATTGACTGTAGGAAAATTATTCATTAACAGAATAAAACACATTTAGATGATGGCACATATTTAAAGTACAGAAAAAGCAAATATATGCACATGATATAATACAGATGTGGATAGATATACACACATAGTATATAAATATTACATATATACATTTTTGTTTAAAATGTTATGAAAAGGTACACAATAAATCTTTACTAGTCATTATTTTAAGGAAATGATACTGTAGGGACTAAAGAAAATTATTGCTTTTTCTTTAGAAACTCTTAATTAGGCTGTAATAGAAATTTGGAAATTGTGTTTACTTATAAAATTAACCATATCAAATACAATTAAATACCAATAACAACTTGCTAGCACCTACTACATAGAAAGTATTATTCTAATTTCTATATGAGTTAGAGATTTAAAACAAAATGATATAAACCCACACACTTCTATTAAGATTCTGTAAAAAAAAAAAAAAAGACAATATTATTTTTAAAACTTGCACAAATTTTTGAAAAGCCCAGGACATCTCTACATGCTAACAATGAAGACTGAGATTCATTTGAAGTGGTAAGAAATTCAGTGCTACATCTACCATGAAGGATTCCCAAATACAAAGAATTGAATGTCTTCTCATGGATGATCCTAAGGTGTGTGTTGCCTCAGAGGGTATTTTCTATGGTGTGCCTTTGGAATGAGTAATTTGATTAAAGTATATTACAAAATTTAGGTGCTCATGTGAGGCACAGCATTATATCAATGAAGATTTAGAAGAGGGGGTAGAAAAGAGATAATTATGAATTTGTTTTATTTTTCGGGCAGTGCATGTGAAGGTTCTTAGTCCTATGTCCACCTAACATTCACATGAATGAAAGTCACCCAAAATTAGCATGACACACCAGTCTAGAGGTCCAGCATAACACAATATTTCACAATCTTACATTAGAAATACAATGCTAGCCAACAGATGCCATCTATTCATTATGCTGCACTCCTGGATCTGGGGCCTGGGCATGGAAATACAAAGAGAGAAGGTATATATATATATATATATATGTATATATAAAATCGAGGATTTAAGACACATGGAAAATAAACCATGAAGCGGTACTACACCTGTATTTGGCTTTCTGGATAAAGAAAATAGAGAGGAGAGAGAGGATATTAAAAAGAACATGTCTCCAAATATTATGGAATTGATTGAAAACATGAAACCTCAGATTTTTTAAAAGACCACAAGTAAAATAAATTAGGGGAAAAAAAACTATCTACAGAGATAGATCACACTGAAATTATGGAAGAACATAAAGAGGGTCTTACATGCAGCCACATAGAAAATAAAGAAAAATAAACCTATTAAAGAAGAAAGTGGAAAACTGGTGATGTAAACTGATGGTTTTAATCTAAAGCAGCAATGATAATAAGTAATTTGGGCGGTAAATATAAATATAGAAGGAGAATACTGGGAAAATATAGGATGATGAAAATGCAGACTCAATTTCAAATATTCTAAGTTCTAATATCTTTTATAAGAAATTAGAAATAAGCATACATTTTAATATTTTTAAAACTTGTTAACAATTATGAGAAACTACTAAAAGATTTGAAATAGACTAAGAACCTGTCAAATACCACAGAGGAAGAAAGCAATATAATTTTTTTAAATTCCAAAGAATTGGAAGAGAGAGAGAGAGAAAAGAAAAAACCTTTCTAATAGAAATTATGTATTTAAAATGTTTTAAAGTGTTTCTTGTGTATGAAAACTCCTATCATAAGATATTTAACTACTGAAGATGTGGCATCCCTTCTTATGACATCACTGTTTTCTTAATGTTAACAGATCTTAGTAACAGATTGTAAAACAGGCTGCTGTTTGACTCCCTAATATCTCACTGTCTTTACTCACAAACAATGCTAAAAGCCTAAATTTTTCTAGAAATTGATAGAAATGGGTGGCTGAGGAGGCATCAGTAAAAGCCACTGAGTGACGACTCTTCCAGGAAAGCTTTACAAAGCAGGCTTACTGTGTAAGTCTACGCATACATCTGGGCCTTTGGAGGGACTATCTTTCCTTCTTTGGAACCTACAGACTATAGCAGAGCTCCAGCAGCAATGCTATGAAAACAAGTCCATCTTCTGAATGGAATCCATAGGATTAGGATGATAGAACTGACCGCCAGAAGGAATCAGACCAACCAGCCTTGGATTGCTTCCCCCAGATTTTATATTTTGTGAAAAACAAACAAATAAAACTCTACCTTGTTTAAGTCACCTTCATTTTGTGTCCCTGTTAATACTGGTAAATGCAATCTTAATGCATACATATATGTACTAGTTGAGCTTTTTGTGTTTTATCAGTGATTTTTATACTACATTGAATGCTCATATTTATATCTTTAACAATAAGTTTAAAATTGTATACATTTTTCTATTCAAATTTTTATTATTTTAAGTGACATAGTCCTTAATGTGCCAGATGAACTTTAATAGTATGCTCCCTAATTATCCAAGCACATTTCAATGTCAACTTTTATTACATCAACCAAATATCAAGTTGATATCAACCAAAACAGGCTAAGTGTTTTTCTGCAGAGAATTTTAACAGCACAAATATGGACTCATTTCTGATATATAATCTTTCTATGATAATAATGTTTAGTAAAACCCATGATCACTGATGTAATGTTTTTTCCTGATTATGCATTTATTTACATTTCACCAGGTGCTATATCTTCCATTTCCCAGAGAAGTTAATATTTGCTTTATTCTTGTGATAAGAGTAATGATTATTATGATCTTAATTAGCGCTATAAGCTGATAGCTAACTAACTTGCTCATTTATATATAAATTAACTATCACAAATCTTAGCTATATCAATCATGATTTGAAGTATTTTTTGCTGTCTGCCTGCCTTCCTTCTTTCCTTCTCTTTTAATTATGTAAAATATAATAAATATATTTATATGCATAAGGGATTTATTATAGTGGCTATTTCTTGTACTGAACCAATAAAACTATTCATATAAATTACTCATTTTATACTAGCATTATGTATAATGTAGCCTTTTGGTGTGTTACAAACAAGAGTTTTTTTAGTGATACACTGAGGCAGAATTCTTTGAAACTTTTAAAATGACACACATTAAAACTAGTATAACAAGCTTAAAAAAAGTCTACCTCCAGCTTCAACTGAGAAAGAGTATCAACCACTCATGAACATTTGACATATCCCAAAAGCGTCCTAAAATAAGTTTCATTAATGGATGGATTAATGAGAAAAAATAATTAACCTATCTATGCTGATATGCATAAAACAGCCCAACATTATGAAAAAATAATATCCTCCTGGACTGTGCACATCACCTGAATATGAAATGTGGAAACTGGATAGTCTCTGTAACAAGAATGCCGAGTACTTAAACGTTGCAGTGTATTGTTTGCCTATTATTATTTCTCTTATTATTTGACTAATAGGCATTTTCTAAAAAACAAGAAAGGCCATAGTAGAGCAAAGAAGGGTAGTATCCCTAGAACTAGTAGTGTTCTGTATGTATTTGTGAGAAAGCCTTTAATATTAAGTGAAAAAAAAAAAACCTAAACATAAGATAGGCTTGTCAAGTATCATTTGTTGGGAGCTATTGCCAAGAGCTAAACCCTACTAGATACATGTAGTTGAAAAATAGAACTGCAAGGCAGACACTATTCATTCAGGTCCCAAAGACTCTTGAAAGCAGGAATCAAGCCATCAGGAACAACTTTCTCTAACTCTCCCCATTGTTTGTTTAATTTTTATTTATTTTTATTTTTTTAAGACAGTCTCACTCCATTGCCCAGGTTGGAGTGCAGTGGCATGATCTGAGCTCACTGCAGCCTCGACCTCCTGGGCTCAAGCGATCCTCCCACTTCAGCCCTTCAAGATGCTGAGACTACAGGTGCATGCCACCATGCCTGGCTAATTTTTGTATTTTTTGTAGAGATGGGGATCTCACTATGTTGCCCAGGCTGGTCTTGAACTCCTGAGCTCAAGTGATTTCCCCACCTCAGCATCCCAAAGTGTTACAAGTGTGAGCCACCATGCCTGGCCCATCTCCACACTGTCTAACCTAGAATGTGAATATATTTTCTCTCACTGCAGAACAATTTCTATCTTGTAGCTGAAAACATTCCCATCTCAATGAATATTATTTGTGGGCTTACTTTGGGCACTGCCATGTTCTGGGCTTTTGAAACTCAATAAATCAACAAAACAGAAAATTTTAAAGCTCTGATAGTTTACAGAGGAAGACAGAAAATGAACTGATAATATATTATTTAGTATGTCTGGTAATGATAAGGGTTTCTGAGAAAAAGAAAGTAAGGAAAAGGTAATAAGAAAGTGAGACTGGGGGCTGCTATTTCATAAAAGGCAGTATAGAAAATATTTCTGAAGTGAGATAATACTTAAGCAGATATCTAACGGAATGAAAACAACCCATGTAGATTTTGTGGGAGGAGCCTCTCCCAGCCACAGAGAACTACAAGTGCAAGGACTCTACTGTAAAAGAGGTTTTGGGCAATTGAGTAAGAACTAGAAGTCAGTGTGACCATCCAGAGAGTGAGGGTAAAATTGAATCAGCTGAGGTCAGATATCTAGCTTTAAGTAGAAGACCTTGTAGACCATTTAAGGACCTTGGATTCTATACCAAATCAGATGGACATCCTTTAGATGATGCTAAACATGACCCAACTTTATTTAAACAGGATCATTGTGATTTCCTCACTGGGGAGACTCTGCAGGAGAACAAGACCAGTTTAGAAGTGGTTGCTGCAAAAGCAAATGGCAGCTTGGATCATGGAAATAGCAGTAGATATACAAAAAAAAGTGGACAGATTCTAGATCTACACGTTCTTTTCTCATAATAGTTATTATGCACTAAAGTTTTTTGCTATAAGGGCTTTCAAATTATATCACTCTTTAGACAACTCTTTGTTTTTCCGGTGCTTTCTAGCTCACTAGTGTATACTACATAAGTACGCCATAAAAAGTGGTATTTCAGCATTATGGCACCAGGCAAAGATGCACTTACTAATTTACATGAAACAATATTTCTAATCCAAAAATATATTATGAAGCAAATTAGATTAACCTGAAAATGTTTTGCTTTACATTCATGTGCCTAAAAGAAAAATGTATGGGTAGAATCTTCCACAAGTCTTTAGCCCATCATGTTGAAGGGCTTTTTCTCAAGTGTTTTGTATTGCACTCATATTAGCTTATATTTGGCTCTAAAAGTGTTTCATTTTTGTTTTGTTTTCTGTGTTATAACTTTTTATTTATTTATTTTTTATTTGAGATGGAGTTTCGCTCTTGCTGCCCAGGCTGGAGTGCAATGGTGCAATCTCGGCTCACTGCAACCTCTGCCTCCCAGGTTCGAGAGATTCTTCTGCCTCGGCCTCCCAAGTAGCTGGGATTACAGTGCACACCACCACAGCCTGCTAATTTTGTATTTTTAGTAGAGACGGGGTTTCTCCATGTTGGTCAGTCTGGTCTCAAACTCCTGATCTGAGGTGATCCACCCACCCCCTGCCCACCGGGCCTCCCAAAGTGTTGGGATTACAGGCGTGAGCCACTGCACCTGGTCCAACTTTTTATTTATTTTAAATTTATATTTAAATACTGTTTGAGGGAAAGCTGAGCATTACCCCTAAAATATTACCCCCACCTCCATTTAAAGAGGTTTCTTCACATCCTACCTACACTACCAACTGTCCGCTATAAACTGGTCACTACTTTCTTTGGAAAAAGCAATCAACCATGAATAATGCACTTGATTGTATTCAAACACATTGATCTTCAGTCACCGGGATCCGACCTATTGCCTTGACTGATCTTTGTCTCTGTAGCTTTTATTTCTTCCACCTAGATCTAACTCTTTATCATTTATTTTCCTTCATCATTGTGAGGAAAAAATGGTATCTCCTTCAGACTTTTCTTAGCATATTACCTACCAATGGTCATTCTCAGGTCAGGGAATATGCTGTAAATTCATAAACAAAAGTACGCAAAGTTTATTTGGAAATTTAATGAATGTGCACTCAAAAAAAGCTTATAATGTGTTTCCTAGGTGTTCAGTGGTTGAATAGATACAAAATTGGTAGCTAACACAAAATTAAACTAATTTTTTTCATTTTTACAATATGAATAAAATTATTTGAAATGTAAGAAGTGCTTTCTGTCTCACTGTGAGAACACACCGTTAGCTCTTCCAAAAACGTGGCAGCGAGAGCCTTCCTAATTCTTGTACCCTAGGTGCCTAGTTTGCCTTACTCTAGCTCAGTCCGGCCTTTTCCATTAATCCTCATCCATTATTATTTATTATGTTTCTTATTGTCTTTGTGTAGACTAAAAATAAAAACTTCTTTAGCTTTTTTTTTTAATCTCATCTACCTAATATAGAAGCATAGATTAGGATTAACATGACTGAATTTGAAAGCCCTGTTATCTGGCTTCAGTATTGACTCCACTACTTACCCAAAGTATTAGGTTGGCCCAAAAGTAATTGTGGTTTTTCCCATTACTTTTAATTGGTTTTTCCAATTACTTTTGTGGAAAAGCTTCAAAAGTAATTACTTTTAATGGAAAAACTGCAATTACTTTTGCACCAACCTAATACTAACATGGACAAATTGTTTAACATGATTAGGCCTTGTTCTACTCATCTGTAAAGTGAGAATAATAATGTTCTTTAATCATAGGTGTGTAGCAAATGTTAAAAGTGTTCACACATATTTTTAAAAGTGGTATGAACCATTGTAAGTGCTCTTCAAAAGTTAACTATTATAATACTATGATTTTATTTAAAGGACTTTTCTATTGCTCAACACTTCAGTTTCACTAATTATCAAATCTTCACTTAATGACTATGCTTCCGATAACTACCTCAGAGGTGTGGATTTATTTTTTTTCTTCAACCTGTTTTTAGCTCACGTGATTTAATGTATACGAATTCATGGGAAAAAATAAAATTCCCTTTTGGATACAGACAAGTTAAGTATAAATATAAATAAAATAAATGGAGAGAACTTCTGCTTTTATAAAAGTTGACCCCTTCTGTGATTGATGTCTGCATTTTTCCCATTACTATGAAGTACCATTAAACATTTTCCTCGACCCAATCTCAAGGAGTAGGTATATATGTTTTCCTTGAAGTTTAAATATATTTTGATAAATAAAAATTTTTTGGTTGGTTTCTTTAGCAATCATTCAAACTATAATCTGATGAATGCTTCAATCTGGTACAACTGTTTAATGGAAAAAATAGTGGTGTATTATGTTTTTCCATATAACATATCATTTATGAGAAAATAAAAATAGCTAAATGTTCAATATTATTTTATAATATCTTCGATAAACCTTTGACAAACAAACATAAAATAAAATTTTTAGGATAATTTAACCAAGATAGTCATATTCTATTATTTAAAAAATGTTTTATGAATCAGTAAAGAAAATTATGAATTCTACATCAAACTCTTCAGGATTTGTTTGTCATGACTAGTCTCAACAAAATTTACTCTTGTGGAGATGATAATTCCTGTCTATAGTCCTGAAATATTATGATCCAAAGTAGAAATTTGGGGTATAGATGAAAGTTCAGGGAGCCTGTTAGGCTCAGTGTATGTAGTCCAAAATCCATTCTGTATTTCTGCATACATTGTCTCTCTACAATTGCACAATATAAATTTGAAGTTTCTCCATTACAAAGAAGAATTTGTGGATGCAATTGAACCATGCTATAATTTAAAATTATGTAATCTATTATTGAGGCTTATGCAAAGCTGATGTTAAATATTTATTAGATGAAATAAGTAAATAATATGGACAGAATGCCAGTCTGACCAGTAAACGTTAGAATCATGGTATCTTCACAAATTCAAGGCTTTTTCAGTTTTACTTAATGTTTATCAATTAAACACAAGATAAACTCACACTTAGTAGCTGTCCAAAAGGTGATACTATAATTCCTAGTAATAATTGAAATGAGAAAAGTTTCAATTTAATGCATCAATTAATTTCAAATAAATTGTTTATTGTATTTTATTGTTTGAAAACAATTTATCTTCTGAAGAAGTTTTAAATACTCTCTTTACAATCCTATTTGCATTATTAATTTCCTTAACTAAATCTATGTAAACATCAGTTTGTCTGTATTCCAATAAAGGGAAGTTTAATTTGCTTTTACTGTTTTCTGTTGTTTTCCTTTCGTCATACTGGGAACATGAGAATATGACTTTGTTGATTGTTAACAGCCTGTAATACCCCAGTGTTTTGTCACTCATAAAGGGAGCAGGCAATGGTTGTTTTGTGGGTAGTCCATGTGAATGTATTTATTGCTTGAGAAACTACTTATCAAGTACTTGTCTATGTGCTGAAGGCTGCTAACAACAAATCTCTCTTTTCTTTTCACTTTGTTATGTCCTTGGCTCTGTTTTCACAACATAAGTTGTAAGAAAGGTTGAGAAAGAATTCTTCTTGATTTGCCATGAGAGTAAAAATTTGCAATATAAATCTCTCTAGCTTTAAGATATTGTGACCTCAACTGAAGAGGCACCGTGGGGAAAAGGTGTTAATGGGCTAAAAAGAAAAATGGAGAGAGATTAACAAAACAGACTCCAGAAACACTCAAAAGACTCTAAAGTCAAGACCTCAATCACTATGTTTCTAAAGCAGGAAGCATTTTTTAATGGTACAGGAATAGCAACTTCAAGGCACTCAAACCATTTTCCCCATTAATATAAGTAGGGTAGTCAAGATGATTCATTTACAAATCTAAAGGAAGAACTCATATATTATGTGAAAATGTGGTAGCCAATCCCAGACTCTTAAATGAGAGATGAGGAAAGGTCATACTGGCTGATTAAAACACTATTCCTGTCAAATCATGTTTCAACATTATTTAAAATGCACTGAAATAAAGAAATAAACTCTCAAATCTAAATTTAAGATTTACATACAGTCAACTAGGCTCTGTGCTTCCTGACTTCCTGCATGTGCTTTCTTTGATCTTTCCAAAAACTATACCAAAAGTTAATGGAGCAGTCTGCAAAGTTCTGAGGAAAATAAAATATGACTCAAAAAGAAAATATGCAATTGCATGGTTAAGCAATAAAGGCAATATAGACAGATACTCTTAACAGAAGTTAAAACCTCTCAGTCCTTCATCATAAATGAACAAGAAAAAGGAGAACTAAAACCCTTCATAACAAAACCGAATCCAGTGATAAATCTAAATAAATTAGGAAAAGAAGCTATGACAAAGTGATATGGTGAGTCCACACCTGGGATTAATACTAAACAACTCAGAGGAAAAAGGCTTACTTTCTATAATATGGAAAACATAAACCATATTAACGTAAAAGTGTTAGCAACACTCAGGCATGAGGAGAAGAAAAATGAGAGGCAATGTAAAAAGCGTAATTTATCTTTCAGAGCAGTGGATGAAACAGTACTTTCCAAATTTGAAACATGGTGTTTTAAAAATGAGTACCATATCTAAATGTAATCTTTTAAATTTACCCTGGAGTAATATTCAAGTAAGTACAACCTACTAAATATTTATTTGAAATTCAACAGTTAATTTGGTTTGTGTTTTTTTTTCTTATAAAGTACAGCAAAATCAAATTTGATTTTTTGTATAAAAAGACAGTTCTTATAGTAAAAACGGTAAAATATAATTTTCATTTTGGTGTCTGCCTATTAATTTAGCTCTCACTCTATGTTTCCATTTGTATTTATGCAAAGAAATGTCTGAAAGTATATTCAAATGAGTTGATGATGGTTATTTCTCATTGGAGGAATTTCAGGCTTAGTTTTCCTTTGTATTTTGTACATGGTTTGAATTACTTAATACCGTAATATTTGCAGAATCATGGATTCATTATTTTTTAGAAACAAAATGTACATTCTAACAGATGGTCTACTTAAGATACAAGAGCCAGGTTCTGTGGCTCACACCTGTAATCTCAGCACTTTGGGAGGCTGAGGCAGGAAGATGGCTTGAGCCAAGAGTTCATAACCAGCCTGGACAACATAGTGAGACCTCATCTCTACAAAACATCAAAATGTGAGGTGAAAGGATTGCTTGAACCAAGGAGGTTAAAGTTGTAATGAACAGTGATTATTACACCACTGCCTTCCCACCACCTTGGTGGCAGAGTGAGAACCTCCGTCAAAATAAAAGATACAAGAAATGTCTAAACATTTTTTGCTGTATCTTTGAAATTATATCTTAGTCTAAATATTTCACTTCTCTGATTTTTAAAATTTGTTCTTGGACAATTTTTTTCAGACCTTCACAAACATGAGCTCTTTCTGTCAGCATGAAATAAATAGCCTATACTCAAAGTTGAATAAATTTGCATAAATTGCTTATCGTCTTTGAGACTGTTTTATTCTCTACACAAAATGGGAATGAAAACACTTTACAGGGTCACTTAAAAAAGTAAATTATTATAATATTTTCCTAGAGTCTGCATTTGAATTTTTTGAAACCAGTTTATATGGGATTGCATATGCGTTCTGTTATAAATGCCTTTCTGAAGGAAGAACTGCCCTGAAACAATACTTTTTCTTCAGGATTAAGGAAGAAAAACAAAATCAGAAATGGGTTGGGGGTGCAATTCGGCGTAGCAACTTCATGTATTTGCTGTCTATTTCACTTCAAACATCAACCATAACAAAACAAACTAATGGTAAACATGCAGTGAACAAAGTTAAACTCTGATGGAAATGCTACCCATTTACTCTGAGTGTATGTAATAAATTTATCTTGTTCATAAGGCACAATATGAACTTACATTTTACATGACAGTAAATATAATCTCATTTTTCATTTGTCACCTCATCTCTAAAATAAACGTTTGTACATTGTAGCACTCTTTTTTTCTTTTTCCCAGAAAAAGAGAAAATAATTTAGAAAAGTAAGGGAGGAAAAGAGGGAGGGATGGTAAAAGTAAAGAAAAGAAAAGGAAGGAAAAAACGAAGGAAGGAAGGAAGGAACCATCTATTAGTACTAAAACCAACATGACAGTAATTTTAAGTAGTGAGTACTTCATTTTTTTATATCTCATTTTATATTTTACAAAAGATTTTCCTTTGTCTAAGCCTTTATGCTTTCTTCACACATGCACTGAATCTAGTAAATTAATTCATGTTAAAAATCTTAATTTGATATGACTATTCTATGTAATTTATTATATTTCACTGAAACAGAATTATATGCAATAAATTAAAATAATGTAATACTCCTATATTAACTTTTCATATTTCTAAGGAATTATTGAACACACTTGATCAGGTATGATCCAAGCACATTCTAAAATTTTGTTTCCTTAATTATTGAATTTTTTTGCCATCTTCTATTTTTGAAATAATATTTTACAAATAATCAAGTGAAAATCATCTAAGAAATACAAAAACATTTTATGAGCAGTTATCTTTTCTATATTTCATAGACTCCATTTTTCATATTATAATCTCTGAAATTGAAATGCAATTTATCATCAACGGTTTCATACCATTTTGCCATATGTAGTAAGACTGGCATTTTATTTTCTTTGGTATTCACAACATAGCAGTACATCTCATAAATAACGTGTCTTTGTTTTGATGAAATATAATATTTGATAGCTCAAAAATACATTACATATTGATTGGCAATTGTTGGTTATTACTGAGGAGGGGTAAGTTTGTAAAATATATTTTGACCTTAGAATTAGTTTTTTTGCTCATTTTCTAAAAATTGGAGTTACCATTTTGTTATTAATTCAGAATAATATTTGTATAATAAAGATAAAGCCCATTATGTTGCAAGTTTTCTGTTATTTTTTCATGATTTTTGAATGTTTTTCATATTTTGACAAACAATATGTGTTGTTCAATCATTCTGCCATGCTCCAAATGTGTATTACTGAATGTATGTTTTGTTTGATGTCTTTTTTCTCATATTTCTGTCTCTTTTAAATATATGTATTTTTATCTTGGTCTGTTTGTTAGTTAAAGCTCAGGTATAGTGTATACTTTTGCCTTGACCCATTGTGGAGGAAGGAGGCATGCTGCTGGTCTCAATCTGAGGTACTAGAGAAATCATTCCTATTCCTTAATGTCTTCAGAGCCTTGGAACCTCAGTGGCAAAATGTTTTAATTTCTTAAATGAATCATTCAGCCATTTCGTTGCTTCTCTAAAAATGAAAGAGCTATTGAGCTGACGTTGACCATCCTTCTTAGAGGTCACAGAGATCTAGGATCAGGCTTTTCCCTAAACCCAACGCTTAATCTTAATTCTAGACATATCAGTGTTGCTCTCTTGATGGCCAGTCCAGATCACAAGGGAAAAATGTCTGTTTCCTTCTGTAGCTTAAGTAGCAAATACAATTTCACTTGCAACCTACTCTTTGCAACTCAGCATCTATTTTACCCTGGAGAAAGATAATCTAGAGTTAGTGGTGCAGGAAATGAGTTGATTTTATGTCCTATTTTTTTCTCCCATAATTCTCTGCATCGGGTGTATTTGCATTTTTTATGATTCATTCTCATGTATACAAACAGAGCCTACTAAACTCAGGGATATAATAAATACTAACCACATATACCCTTATATTTCCAATATTTAAATATTTTCATTTTGTTCATTTGTCTTTCCAGTCCATTGGCTAATTTTTAAAGTGTTGGGTGTAGAAATAACTTTTTCATGTAGGTTTGTTGTTGTTGTTGTTGTTATTGAGTTTTCCCCAAACATAACCATAAAACCATATTTTAAATGTACTTATAATCCCCATTTATATTTTAAAACCATATTTTAAATGTACTTATAATCCCCATACATTTATATTTCTTTAATGTGCAGAATGATTTGAAGTTTTATATATCTATAATTAATCTACTTTCTTATTTGATTTTTAGTATGTGCTTGTCTTTGTTACATTATTTTTGTGATTATATGTGAAATTATTTTAAATCAAAAAAATTCCCCAAATTAACATATGATAGTAATCACATGGGTTATAAATTAATTTGGTAGAAATTTTTGAAATCTTTACTTTTCAGTCTAGTGACTGATACTTAGATTATGTTTATATTTAACAAATTTTTATATTTCTCTTTATTAAGCTACTGTTAGGTTAGTTCTTTTTTCATTGTTGAGTTTTTAAGAACTAAGTTGTGAAAATTTACCTATATATTTTCTATGGATAGTATATATATATATATATATAACACTTGGCTTAACTTGGCCAAAAGAATGCCCCCCAACCCACTCCCCCTAAAATTTGTCTTATATATTTAATAAAGGGAATATATTTAAAAACTAATGATAAAATAATTTTAATGTTTAAAATTAGCCAAAATACAGAATAATTTGTTTACTAATTCATCTCATTTATGCATGATTTTCTTGTCTCTCTTAGGTTGAAATTTATTCTTATTGCAAATGAAGTTAGCTTGATTCATCCTTTCTTAAAGTCATATATATTTTTTATAGCTTTATCGCAGTTCAGAAAAATGAAGGCAATGAAGAAAAAGTTAATTCATGGGAGGTGTGATTATTCGTGAATTTTACATATTTAATGTAAATTATATGGTATTCTTAATATGCATATATAGCTTATATTAATAGGTAATCATACATCAAGGGAGAATCATAATATAAGTATTGCATAAGGAAGTAAATATAGCTCTCTAGTATTATTTTAATGGTTATGCATTATATAAATACACATTTTCTATAATCAAATTAAGATTAATAAGTTCTAATATACAAACTTATTTTTTCATCTTTGCAACCAGTTCTGGATTTTGCATTCTTGGTCATGTATCTACACAAAATTGTATACTTGCTCATTAGAATACATTTCTAGAATTGTGATGTATGGATCAAATGGTAGATGGATTTTAAATTACTTAAAAGTATATTCTTAGCATATTCTTAGGATTTGGCCACTGCAAACAGCCAGGGATGCCAGCTGTGGAGGCGCAGTCAGCTCCAGGTGCCGGCATGGTTGCCAGCTCCCTGTGAGGCTTTGGCTGGACCGGGCATACCATAAGCAGCTTCCACAGCTTAGTTTTTATCAAGAAAGGTAACAGCAATGAAACTATTTAAGTGATTAATAGCATTAACTAGACAAAGAATTCAAAAGAAGGATAAATTGTATAGGAAGTGAATAAATTGTTAAATGTATCTAGTAGATGCCTGTTGCGTGAAGTTAGTGAAACCACGGAAACATGGATAGGTCACTAAGACTTTTCAAGGAATAAATAAATTACTCCGGAGAAAATTATAGCCTGATTACATTCCATACCCTATGAAAGTTATATAAGTTCTTATTGTCAAGGGATTTTTGGGGCAATGTTTTATCGGCTGGAAACCTCTATGGCCAGTGGCACCTATGCCTGAGTTATGCTTGGGCCCGCTGGGCTTGTTCCACCCACTTGGCCTGGCAGGCTGCGTTTGGCTCACGCTACTGGACTGGATCCCACACCTGCCAGGCATGGAACGGCCACGGGTGTGTGTGGGAGCATAGGATCTGGCCACTGCGCACAGCCAGGGATGCTAGCTGTGGAAGGGCGGGCAGTTCCAGGTGCCGGCATGGGTGCCAGCTCCCTGCAAGGCTGTGGCTGGACCAGGCATACCATAAGCAGCTTCCATGGCTGGCACCTGGGAATGCAGTGGTGTTTGGAAGCCTGGAGACACCAGGAACTGCAGAGCCCCAAAGAGGGTGTGACAGCCCTGGCTCAGAGAGCTCCCAGGTCTGGGATCCTCAAAGGGCCGCAGCTGCTTCTCTCCTTCTTGCTGCCTGCAATGTGGCGAGCAAGGGGCAGTTTCAGCTTTATTTGTGTTACAGCTCTTTCAGCCCTGCCATTCGGTGGGTTCCAAGTTCTTGTCCTGCCATTCAGGAAGAATGAGGTACGCGGACAAGTGGTGAGTGAGGAAGGTGAAGAAGAGCTCTGTTGAGGGACAGAACAGCTCAGAGGAGACCCACACTGGGTAGTTTCTCTCCACAGGCGGGTTGTCCTGACAAATGTTTAGCTTTCAGAAGAGAGGAGACCCTAAAATGGGTAGCTCCTCTCTACAACTGGTCATCCTGTAGTCTCAAGTCTGACTGATTCCAGGGCTTTTATGGGCCTTGGAGGGGAAGAAGTGCATGTCGATTGGTTCATGGGTGGCCATGGTGGGCCTGGAAAAAGTATGCCCAAGTTTCACCTCGGGTCTGCAGGACCAGCAGCCCAGCCCCCAGGCTTTAGGCTCTCCCAGGCTTGAAGGTGGGGCTTCAACAGGGACCCACCTCCTTCCGCCCAGGAGCCTGGCTGCCTCCTGCCACCTGTTTGTGACAAGGGTGTCTGCAAGTCAGCTCCCAGCTGTCCTCAGCCCCCTCTCAGCCTCACTCCCATGCTCATCGGTGCCCAAAGTCCAGAAGAGGCCAAGATGGCAGAAGGCTGGCATGCCAGCACTGCTCCGAGTGTGTGAACACCCGCCCAGGCTGCAACAGCATCCAGGTTTGGCCCCAACCTCACACCAAGAGTGGAGCAGGAGCTGAGAGTGGGGAGAGGCCAGGAAGCAGGAGCAGACACCTCTGAGCCTGTGGGAATGGGGGCGCCTTCTCAGGACTCTGAGAATGCCGAGTTGCTCAGGTCTGCAGTCACAGTTTGGGCAGTTGCAGTTGTGCCTGGGAGGGCAGGGCTCCCACCTGCTCCCAGCCTCCAAGAGCACAGGGAGGCCCAGGTCTGCAGCTGTGCCTGGGTGGTTGCAGCTGTGCCTGGGAGGGCAGGGCTCCTGCCTGCTCCCGGCTCCCACTGGCTCCACTGAGCATGCAGCCCAGCCATGCCTCCCCTGCTGCAGCCACCCTCTTGGCAGTGGCTGCTCCAGATGGGCTGCTGCTGCCATCATTATAGTTGAAATTTGACCAAATAGATATATGGTCCATCTGAAACCAAACCACTGAAGTAGCACAAATCAGGTTATGGGATACCTTCCCTGCGTTAATCAGAGTATAGCAAAAATAAATGTATATATCAAAAGGAAATGTGAGAAAATAGTGTTAGAGAAATGTGGTTTTATTGGCTAAAATATAGAAGGAATCCTGGCGAAGTTTGAGTGAACACAGTGCAATAGGGAAAGAATGGTGTCATGAAGGAAGGACTGGCAGTCATGCAGAGCAGATTTTCTTTGATCCTCCTGTAAACAACAAAGCTTCTCAGCATTTGCTATTTCTCCCAATGAATTAGGTGAAAGTCCACTCATAATCATGAATCAGAAAGTCTCTCGCCTGCATTGTCCCAGCCACTCTATTTTATAAAATTGTTGCCTGGAAGAAACTCTGGATGGAGAACGAGTGAAATTGATTCCCTCTGGTGTTTCACAGGATAGTTTGGAATCAGTAATATTTTATCAGTTTGAGCACTAGGTTGTTCTCATGACTCTTTTCGTGTTACCCAGTAGTGTCAGGTTCCACGAAAGAAGGTAATGGGAGTAAAAGAGTTTGTAACACTTACAGTGTTCTGTGAGAAGTCATCCATAGCTGCGACACAGTGTTGTTGCCATTGGTTTTATCGTTGCCATTGCAAGAACTTAATGTCATTATTAATATTATTTGCTAATTTTTTTAGAGCACGGGCATTCCTTCACTTTCCTCTGCACAATATTCACTGCATCTGTTACTGGCTGATTTCCAGAACATATTTCATCTCTGAAGTCACATATAAAACTTGCATTGCCCAAGTCCCCTGTCTCATTGTCTCACTGTAGTCCTTCTCATCTCTACTCAGTTTCTCACCTTTGGATGATTTGCAATATTCTGCCTCAGATCTTGCCCCATCACTCACATGCTTTTGTCATGTGGAGTGATAACATGTCCTTGATCAAATCTTCCCTCTATCTGATTTCCTCTGCCTTATTAATAGAAATTTTCAAGTTTCAGAACTGTACAAGTCACCCTTCCCAGTTGTCTAAAGATAAGTATATCTATATTTCTTTAGTCATTTTAGGAGAAAGTGAAGAGAAGCACTTGCCTGAAATTATTGCCTGGAACTAGAATCTTTGCTACAGTATTTTTGCCCTTCTGCAAGAAAGAAAAATGTTATTTGAGTGAAACAAATTCTTCTATTATGGTATAATTAAAATTGTGTAAATTCTACACAGTGCCTGTAATGAAAAGTATACCAATCTTAATAATATGTGGATAATCACTTCAACTGGACAGAGGAAATTGGCTGGAGGTCATGTAGTGCTGTCTGTCTTCTCTCCCACTTGTCAGACTCTTCTTTTAAACCCAAATTGCTCTTATTTTGCTGTGTGGCATTTTGGGTTATTTTTTGCAGACAAATTTACTTTTTTAAACTGGAAGGGATATGAATTGCATCTAGGTGTTCATTTATGTGTTTGGAGCATTTATAGAAGCATAAAATTATATGTATAATAAAAGTTACAGAAGAATATGAAGAATTTCTGAAATATTTACCTAAAGAGCAGAGCATCTCTTCCTCGAGCAACTGCTATCATTTCCCTGCCATCTAGAGTGAATCTTTTATTCTCAGATTATTATTCCTCTCCTTACTCTTCCAACTTCCCTTATTATCCATATATCCCTTAAATAACACATTTTAAACCAAACTAAATGACAGCAGCTTTTATGTCACTATCACTTCTGCATATTTAGCCTTTTAAGGAGG
This sequence comes from Homo sapiens, assembly GCF_000001405.40. NCBI lineage: Eukaryota > Metazoa > Chordata > Mammalia > Primates > Hominidae > Homo > Homo sapiens. The sequence goes on from NC_000009.12 coordinate 31,323,816, forward strand.
AATACTTAACTGCTCAGTCTGCTGCGAAGGCAACCATACAAGTTTTATCCTAATCACAAAGGTGTAAAGCCCTTAGGAAACCACAATCTCCTGAAGACACCAGTACAGGAAGTGCTAGAGATCTCTTAGGCCTGTTTAGACTCAGGATTCTCTAACACTTCCTACCCTGTGTTCCTATATTTGTCCACAGCACTTCAAAGGAAAGCCCTAGTACTACTCACCTGGAGGGTTTTTAATTTTTTTTTCACATGTAACAGGGCTTTTATGTTATCTTGATTTGTGCAGGTGTGGCATCTTACTGGTTCTCTGTTTTTCTTCCCCATTGCACTGATCTCTCTTTCCACTGTCTTTTACATACTTATTTTTTCATAACCACACTTTTATTTTGCCGAGAGTGTCACTTTATCTAGAAGAAAGGTTCCTTCTGTCAGTACAGAGGCTCCACTGCAGGGCTTACAGCACTTGGTGTAGCAGAATGGTGAGGAGCTCACAGGGCAGGGAGCTACCTCCTGGGGAGGAAATGAAATCCCAACCTGTTTTGAATGCTGTTGTACAGTCATGTATTGCATAAGAACTTTTCTTTCAACAATGGACCACATATAATACAGTGGTCCCATAATATTATCATTGAGCTGAAAATTCCTATCAGTTAATAACATTGTGGGTTTCTAAATGTCATAATACTTATTTATATAAAGAGTGAAACCTCAAGAAGAGCCTCAGGTAGTCTTTTAGGAGTTACTGCTGGAGAAGGCATTGTTATCACAGGAGATGACAGCTCCATGAATGTTGTTGCCACTGAAGACCTTCCAGTGGGACAAAGTGTAGAGATAGAAGACAGTGATATTGATCCTGACCCTGTGTAGGCCTATGCTAATATGTGTGTTTGAGTCTTAGTTTTTAACAAAATTTTTAAAAAAATAACTAATTAATAACAATTTTTAAATAGAAAAAAATCATAGAATAAAGATATAAAGAAAATATTTGTGTGCAACTGTACAATGTATTGATGTTTTAAAATGAGTGCTACTATAAAAGACTCATAAACTTCTTTAAAAATTAAAAGTTTATAAAGTAGAAATGTTTTAGTAAGCTAAAGTCAATTCATTATTGAAGAAAAAGTATTTAATATAAATTTGGATAGCCTCAGTGTACAGTATCGTAAAGCCTCCAGAACTGTAGACTAATGTTTTAGACCCTCACATTCACTCACCACTCACTAACTGACTCACCCAGAATAACTTTTAGTCCTGCAAGCTTTCTCTATGGTAAGTGTCCTGTACAAATGTACAATTTTAAAATATTTAGTACAATATATTTTACTGTATCTTTATAAACATATCTATATTTAAATATGTTTAGATACACAAATACCATTGTGTTACAACTGCTTACAGTATTTAGTACAGTAACATGCTATACATGTTTGTAGTCTAGGACAGCAGTCCCCAACCTTTTTGGCACCAGGGACAGGTTTTGTGGAAGATAATTTTTCCATGCATGGGGGGTTGTGGAATGGGTTGGGGAATGGTTTTGAAATGAAACTGTTCCACTTCAGATCATCAGGTATTAGTTAGATCCCCATAAGGAGCATGAAACCTAGATCCCTTGCTTGTGAACTTTGCAATAGGATTCACGCTCCTAGGAGAATCTAATGCCACTGCTGATCGAGCAGGAGGTAGAGCTCAGGCAGTAATGCTTTCTCACCAGCCACTCACCTCCTGCTGTGTGGCCTGGTTCCTAACAGGCCACAAATCTGCACTGGTCCATGGCCCGGGGGTTGGGGACCCCCGGCCTAGGAGCAATAGGGTGTATCATATAGCCTCGGTTTGCAGTAGGCTATATCATCTAGGTACGTGTAAGTACATGTGAAGATGTTCACACAATGACAAAATTGCCTAATAACACATTTCTCAGAGCATACCCCAGTTAAATTCTTACAGGATCTTTGGGATGTCACTTTTCTGGCCTGAAACCTACTGCTAGTGGTGCATTTTCCTGAGTTTTGCTTGGGTCCACTGGGATCATTCTGCCCACTCAGCCTGGCAGGCTGCACTTGGCTTATGCTACTGGCCTGAATCCCGTGCCTACCGAGGGAGACTGCATGGAGCAGCGAGAAGTGTGTGAGTGAGTGTGGGATCTGGCCACTGCACGGTCAGAGACAGTGGCTGCCGCAGTAGGGTGGGCAGCTCCAGGTGCTAGCATGGGCACTGGCTCTCTGCCAGGCTATGGCTGGACCAAGCACACTGCAAGAAGCTTCCATGGCTGGCACCAGGGGACACGGTAGCACCCAGCAGCTTGGAGGCAGGAGGAAACCTAGGGCCCCAAAGAGGGAGTCACAGTTCTTTGGCTTGGGGACCTCCTAGGTCTGGGCTCCCCAGAGAATCACAGCTCTTCTTTTTTTCTCTTTGCCCACTTTGTGGTGAGCAAGGGGCATGTCTCAGCCCTGTTTAGATTACAGCTCTTTTAGCCTCACTCAGCGGGTCCTGAGTGTCAGGCCTCTGAGCCCAAGCCAAGCCATCACATCCCCTGTGACTTGCACATATACACCCAGATGGCCTGAAGTAACCGAAGAATCACAAAAGAAGTGAAAATGCCCTGCCCCGCCTTAACTGATGACATTACACCACAAAAGAAGTGAAAATGGCTGGTCCTTGCCTTAAGTGATGACATTACCTTGTGAAAGTCCTTTTCCTGGCTCATCCTGGCACAAAAAGCTCCCCCACTGAGCACCTTGCTATCCCCACTCCTGCCCGCCAGAGAACAAATCCCCTTTGACTGTAATTTTCCTTTATCTACCCAAATCCTATAAAACGGCTCCACCCTTATCTCCCTTCCCTGACTCTCTTTTCAGATTCAGCCCGCCTGCACCCAGGTGATTAAAACTTTATTGCTCACACAAAGCCTGTTTGGTGGTCTCTTCACACGAACGCGCATGAAATTTGGTGCCGTGACTTGGATCAGGGGACCTCCCTTGGGAGATCAATCCCCTGTCCTCCTGCTCTTTGCTCTGTGAAAAAGATCCACCTACGACCTTGGGTCCTCAGACCCACCAGCCCAAGGAACATCTCATCAATTTTAAATCAGATAAGTGGCCTCTTCTTACTCTCTTCTCCAACCTCTCTCACTATCCCTCAACCACTTTCTCCTTTCAATCTTGGCGCCACCCTTCAATCTCTCCCTCTCTTAATTTCAGTTCCTTTCCTTTTCTGGTGGAGACAGGAGATGCGTTTTATCCGTGGACCCAAAACTCCGGCGCCGGTCACGGACTTGGGAAGACAGTCTTCCCTTGGTGTTTAATCACACGGGGATGCTTGCCTGATTATTCACCCACGTTTCAGAGGTGTCTGACCACACGGGGATGCTTGCCTTGGTCCTTCACCCTTAGCAGCAAGTACCGCTTTTCTGGGGGGCAAGAAACCCCTCAAGCCCTTCTCTCCATGTCTCTACCCTTTCTCCGCTTTTCTGGGAGGCAAGAGCCCCCCAACCCCTTCTCCTTCACCCTTAGAGCAAGTACCACTTTTCCAGGGGGCAAGAACCCCCCAACCCCTTCTCTCCGTGTCTCTACCCCTTCTCTGCTTTTCTGGGGGCAAGAACCCCCCGATCCCTTATTTCCGTGCTCTGACCTCTTATCTCTACACCCCAACCTTTTATCTCTGTGCCCCAACCCCTTATTTCCATGCCCCGACCTCTTATCTCTGCGCCCTAACCCCTTATTTCTGTGCCCTGACCCCTTTCCCGCTTTTCTGGAAGGTAAGAACCCCCAAACCCCTTCCCTCCGTGTCTCTGTCTTTTCTCTGGGCTTGCCTCCTTCACTATGGACAACTTTCCACCCTCCATTCCTCCTTCTCCCTTAGCCTGTATTCTCAAGAACTTAAAACCTCTTCAACTCACACCTGACCTAAAACCTAAATGCCTTATCTTCTTCTGCAACACTGCTTGGCCCCAATACAAACTTGACAATGGCTCTAAATGGCCAGAAAACGGCACTTTTGATTTTTCCATCCTTCAAGATCTAGATGATTCTTGTCGTAAAATGGGCAAATGGTCTGAGGTGCCTGACATCCAGGCTTTCTTTTACACATTGTTCCCTCCCTACTCTCTGTTCCCAATGCGACTCGTCCCAAATCCTCCTTCTTTCCCTCCCACCTGTTCTCTCAGTCCCAACCCCAAGCATCACTGAGTCTTTCTAATCTTCCTTTTCTACAGACCCATCTGACCGCTCCCCTCCTCCCCAGGCTACCCCTTGCCAGGCTGAGCCAGATCCCTATTCTTCCTCAGCCTCTACTCCCCAACCCTATAATCCTTTTATCACCTCCCCTCCTCACACCCGGTCCAGCTCACAGTTTCTCTCTGTGACTAGCCCTCCCCCACGTGCCCAGCAATTTCCTCTTAAAAAGGTAGCTGACGCTAAAGGCATAGTCAAGGTTAATGCTCCTTTTTCTTTATCCGACCTCTCCCAAATCAGTTAGTGTTTAGGCTCTTTCATCAAATATGAAAAACCCAGCCCAGTTCATGGCTCATTCGGCAGCAACCCTGAGACGCTTTACAGCCCTAGACCCTAAAACGTCAAACGGCCATCTTATTCTCAATATACATTTTATTACCCAATCCGCTCCTGACATTAAATAAAAACTCCAAAAATTAAATTCTGGCCCTCAAACCCCACAACAGGACTTAATTAACCTCACCTTCAAGGTGTACAATAATAGAGTAGAGGCAGCCAAGTAGCAATGTATTTCTGAGTTGCAATTCGTTGCCTCCACTGTGAGACAAACCCCAGCCACATCTCCAGCACACAAGAACTCCAAATGCCTGAACTGCAGCTGCCAGGGGTTCCTCCAGAACCTCCTCCCCCAGGAGCTTGCTACAAGTGCCAGAAATCTGGCCACTGGGCCAAGGAACGCCCACAGCCCGGGATTCCTCCTAAGCCGCATCCCATCTGTGCAGGACCCCAGTGAAAATCAGACTGTTCAACTTACCTGGCAGCTACTCCCAGAGCCCCTGGAACTCCGGCCCAAGGCTCTCTGACTCCTTCCCAGATCTTCTCGGCTTAGCAGCTGAAGACTGACACTGCCCAATTGCCTTGGAAGCCTACAGGACCATCACAGGTGCTCTGGGTAACTCTCACAGTGGCGGGTAAGTCCGTCCCCTTCTTTGTGAATACGGAGGCTACCCACTCCACATTACCTTCTTTTCAAGGGCCTGTTTCCCCTTGCCTCCATAACTGTTGTAGGTATTGACGGCCAGGCTTCTAAACCTCTTAAAACTCCCCAACTCTGGTGCCAACTTAGAAAACATTCTTTTATGCACTCTTTTTAAATTATCCCCACCTGCCCAGTTCCCTTATTAGGCTGAGACATTTTAACTAAATTATCTGCTTCCCTGACTGTTCCTAGGCTACAGCTGCATCTCATTGCCGCCCTTCTCCCCAACCCAAAGCCTCCTTTGCATCTTCCTCTCGTATCCCCCCACCTTAACCCACAAGTATGGGACATCTCTACTCCTTCCCTGGCAACCGATCACATGCCCATTACCATCCCATTGAAACCTAATCACCCTTACCCCGCTCAATGCCAATATCCCATCCCACAGCACACTTTAAAAGGATTAAAGCCTGTTATCACTCACCTGCTACAGCATGGGCTTCTAAAACCTATAAACTCCCCTTACAATTCCCCCATTTCACCTGTTCTAAAACCAGACAAGGCTTATAGGTTCAAGATCTGCGCCTTATCAACCAAATTGTTTTGCCTATCCACCCCATGGTGCCAAACCCATATACTCTCCTATCCTCAATACCTCCCTCCACAACCCATTATTCTGTTCTAGATCTCAAACATGCTTTCTTTACTATTCCTTTGCACCCTTCATCCCAGCCTCTCTTCGCTTTCACTTGGACTGACCCTGACACCCATCAGGCTCAGCAAATTACCTGGGCTATACTGCCGTAAGTCTTCGCAGACGGCCCCCTTTACTTCAGTCAAGCCCAGATTTCTTCCTCATCTGTTACCTATCTCGACATAATTCTCATAAAAACACATGTGCTCTCCCTGCTGATTGTGTCTGAATAATCTCCCAAACCCCAATCCCTTCTACGAAACAACAACTCCTTTCCTTCCTAGGCATGGTTAGTGCAGTCAGAATTCTTACACAAGAGCCGGGGCCACAACCTGTAGCCTTTCTACCGAACAACTTGACCTTACTGTTTTAGCCTAGCCCTCATGTCTGCATGCAGTGGCTGCCACTGCTTTAATAGTTTTAGAGGCCCTAAAAATCACAAACTATGCTCAACTCACTCTCTACAGTTCTCATAACTTCCAAAATCTACTTTCTTCCTCCCACCTGATGCATATACTTTCTGCTCCCCGGCTCTTTCAGCTATACTCACTCTTTGTTGAGTCTCCCACAATTACCATTGTTCCTGGCCTGGACTTCAATCCAGCCTCCCACATTATTCCGGATACCACACCTGACCCTCATGGCTGCATCTCTCTGATCCACTTGACGTTCACCCCATTTCCCCACATTTCCTTCTTCCCTGTTTCTCACCCTGATCACACTTGGTTTATTGATGGCAGTTCCACCAGGCCTAATCGCCACTCACCAGCAAAGGCAGGCTATGCAATAGTATCTTCCACATCTGTTATTGAGGCTACGGCTCTGCGCCCCTCCACTACCTCTCAGCAAGCCGAACTAGTTGCCTTAACTCAGGCCCTCACTCTTGCAAAAGGTACTACACATCAATATTTATACAGACTCTAAATATGCCTTCCATATCCTCACCACCATGCAAGAGGTTTCCTCACTACACATGGCTCCTCTATCATTAATCCCTCTTTACTAAAAAAACGCTTCTCAAAGCCGCTTTACTTCCAAAGGAAGCTGGAGTCATTCTCTGCAAGGGGCATCAAAAGGCATCAGATCCCATTGCTCTAGCAATGCTTATGCTGATAAGGTGGCTAGACAAGCAGCTAGCATTCCAACTTCTGTCCCTCATGGCCAGTTTTTCTCCTTCACATCGGTCACTCCCACCTACTCCCCCGCTGAAACTACCACCTATCAATCTCTTCCCACACAAGGCAAATGGTTCTTAGACCAAGGAAAATATCTCCTTCCAGCCTCACAGGCCCCTTCTATTCTGTTGTCATTTCATAACCTCTTCCATGTAGGTAATAAGCCGCTAGCCCGTCTCTTAGAACCTCTCATTTCCTTTCCATCATGGAAATCTGTCCTCAAGGAGATCACTTCTCAGTGTTCCATCTGCTATTCTACTCCTCCTCAGGGATTGTTCAGGCCCCATCCCTTTCCTACACATCAAGCTCGGGGATTTGTCCCTGCCCAGGACTGGCAAATTGACTTTACTCACATGCCCCGAGTCAGAAAACTAAAATACCTCTTAGTCTGGGTAGACACTTTCACTGGATGGGTAGAGGCCTTTCCCACAGGGTCTGAGAAGGCCACCGCGGTCATTTCTTCCTTTCTGTCAGACATAATTCCTCAGTTTGGCCTTCCCACCTCTATACAGTCTGATAACGGACCAGCCTTTACTAGTCAAATCACCCAAGCAGTTTCTCAGGCTCTTGTTATTCAGTGAAACCTTCATATCCCTTACCATCCTCAATCTTCAGGAAAGGTAGAATGGACTAATGGTCTTTTAAAGACACACCTCACCAAGCTCAGCCTCCAACTTAAAAAGGATTGGACAGTACTTTTACCTCTTGCCCTTCTCAGAATTAGAACCTGTCCTTGAGATGCTAAGGGTACAGTCCATTTGAACTTTTATATGGACGTACTTTCTTGCTTGGCCCCAACCTCATCCCAGAGGCCAGCCCTCTAGGCGACTATCTTCCAGTCCTCCAACAGGCTAGACAGGAAATTCACCAGGCTGCTAATCTTCTCTTGCCTACTCCAGATCCCCAGCCATATGAAGACACCCTAGCTGGATGATCAGTTCTTGTTAAGAATCTGACCCCTCAAACTCTACAACCTCGATGGACCAGACCCTACTTAGTCATCTATAGTACCCCGACTGCCGTCCACCTGCAGGATCCTCCACACTGGGTTTACCGTTCCAGAATAAAGCTGCGTCCATCAGACAGCTAGCCTAATCCCTCTTCTTCCTCCTGGAAGTCGTAAGTACTCTCCCCTACTTCCCTTAAACTTACTCATATTTCTGAAGAACAGTAATATCCCTTATGAGCCTAATACATCCCTTCATTCTATTAGGTCTGTTCGTCCTTACCCTACTTTTTGCAACAGGGCTTTACGAAGTCACCCCCACCACTTAGGCCAAGCCCCAAAAAACTAGTCATCCCTACTATTTTCTGTCTAGTCATACTCCTATTCTCCGTTCTCAACTACTTATAAATGCCCTACTCTTGTTTACACTGCCAGTTTACACTGTTTCTTCAAGCCATCACAGCTGATATCTCTTGGTGCTATCCCCAAACCACCACTCTTAACTCCCTCTTAGAGTGAATAGATGATCTTTGCTGGCAGGGCACCCTCCAATACTTCCACGCTGATGAAGTTCTATTCTTTACTTCTATACTCACTCTTATTCTCATTCCCATTCTTATGCCATCCTTTACCTCTCCCCAGCTATCTCCACCACACTATCAACCTTACCCATTCTCTCCTAGCCACTTCTAATCCCTCCTTAGTGAACAACTGCTGGCTTTGCATTTCCCTTTCTTCCAGTGCCTACACAGCTGTCCCTGCCTTACAGACAGACAGACTGGGCAATATCTCCTGTCTCCTTACACCTCCGAACTTCCTTTAAGAGCCCTCACCTTTACCCTCCTGAAGAACTCATTGACTTTCCAGACAGGTCCAGCAAGACTTCCTCAGACATTTCACATCAGCAAGCTGCCACCCTCCTCCGCACTTATTTAAAAAACCTTTCTCCTTATATTAACTCTACTCCCCCCATATTTGGACCTCTCACAACACAGACTACTATTCCTGTGGCAGCTCCTTTGTGTATCTCTCAGCAAAAACCCACTGGAATTCCCCTAGGTAATCTTCCACCTTCTCGATGTTCCTTTACTCTTCATCTCTAAAGCCCAACTACACACATCACTGAAACAACTGGAGCCTTCCAGCTCCATATTACAGACAAGCCCTCTATCAATACTGACAAACTTAAAAATATTAGCAGTAATTATTGCTTAGGAAGACACTTGCCCTGTATTTCACTCCATCCTTGGCTACCTTCCCCTTGCTCCTCAGACTCTCCTCCCAGGCCCTCTTCTTGTTTACTTATACCCAGCCCCAAAAGTAACAGTGAGAGGTTGCTCGTAGATACTCAATGTTTTCTCATACACCATGAAAATTGAACCTCCCCCTCTACACAGTTACCCCATCAGTCCCCATTACAACCTCTGACGGCTGCCGCCCTAGCTGGATCCCTAGGAGTCTGGGTACAAGACACCCCTTTCAGCACTCCTTCTCACCTTTTTACTTTGCATCTCCAGTTTTGCCTCGCACAAGGTCTCTTCTTCCTCTGTGGATCCTCTACCTACATGTGTCTACCTGCTAATTGGACAGGCACATGCACACTAGTTTTCCTTACCCCCAAAATTCAATTTGCAAATGGGACCAAAGAGCTCCCTGTTCCCCTCATGACAGGACTAAAGAGCTCCCTGTTCCCCTCATGACACTGACACGACAAAAAAGAGTTATTCCACTAATTCCCTTGATGATCGGTTTAGGACTTTCTGCTTCCACTATTGCTCTCGGTACTGGAATAGCAGGCATTTCAACCTCTGTCACGACCTTCTGTAGCCTGTCTAATGACTTCTCTGCTAGCATCACAGACATATCACAAACTTTATCAGTCCTCCAGGCCCAAGTTGACTCTTTAGCTACAGTTGTCCTCCAAAACCGCCAAGGCCTTGACTTAGTAACTGCTGAAAAAGGCAGACTCTGTATATTCTTAAATGAAGAGTGTTGTTTTTACCTAAATCTATCTGGCCTGGTGTATGACAACATAAAAAAACTCAAGGATAGAGCCCAAAAACTTGCCAACCAAGCAAGTAATTATGCTGAACCCCCTTGGGCACTAATTGGAAGTCCTGGGTCCTCCTAATTCTTAGTCCTTTAATACCCATTTTTCTCCTTCTTTTATTCGGACCTTGTATCTTCCGTTTAGTTTCTCAATTCATCCAAAATCATATCCAGGCCATCATCAATCATTCTATACGACAAATGTTTCTTCTAACATCCCCACAATATCACCCTTTACCACAAGATCTCCCTTCAGCTTAATCTCTCCCACTCTAGGTTCCCACGCCGCCCCTAATCCCGCTTGAAGCAGCCCTGAGAAACATCGCCCATTCGCTCTCCATACCACCCCCAAAAAATTTTTGCTGCCCCAACACTTCAACATTATTTTGTTTTATTTTTCTTATTAATATAAGAAGGCAGGAATGTCAGGCCTCTGAGCCCAATCCAAGCCATCGCATCCCCTGTGACTTGCACATATACACCCAGATGACCTTAAGTAACTGAAGAATCACAAAAGAAGTGAAAATGCCCTGCCCCGCCTTAACTGATGACATTCCACCACAAGAGAAGTGAAAATGGCCAGTCCTTGCCTTAAGTGACGACATTACCTTGTGAAAGTCCTTTTCCTGGCTCATCCTGGCTCAAAAAGCTCCCCCACTGAGCACCTTGAGACCCCCACTCCTGTCCGCCAGAGAACAAATCCCCTTCGACTGTAATTTTCCTTTACCTACCCAAATCTATAAAACGGCCCCACCCTTATCTCCCTTCACTGACTCTCTTTTCGGTCTCAGCCCACCTGCACCCAGGTGATTAAAAGCTTTATTGCTCACACAAAGCCTGTTTGGTGGTCTCTTCACATGGACATGCATGAATCCGAGTTCTTCTCCTGTGTCCAGGAAGACTGAGGTATGCAGACAAGTCAAGGGTGAGCAAAATGCAGAGGAGCTTTATTGAGTGACAATAGCTCAGAGGAGGCCCTGGGGTGGGTAGCTTCTCTCTGCAGCAGGTTGTCCTGTTGTCTCTGCTGCTCTCAGCGGAGAGAAGGCCCTGGAATTGGTAGTTCCTTTCTGCAGCCAGTCATCCTGACATCTGCCACTGTTAGCAGAGAGGAGGTCCTGGAGTGCGTAGCTCCTCTCTACAGCCAGTAGTCCTGATGTCTGCTCAGCTCTGGCTGAGCCCAGGGCTCTTATGGGCCTCAGAAAGGAGGAAGTGTGCACCAATTGATCCACGGGTAGCCTCAGGAGGGCCCAGAAAAGGCACCACAAGTATTCACTCTGATCTGCGAGACTGGCAGCCTGAGCCCCAGCCTTCAGGCTCTCCCTGGCCTGAAGGTGGGGCCTCACTGGGGACCCACACCCTTCCACTCAGGAAGCTATTTGTCTCCTGCTGCCATTCGTGGAACCCAGGCTGTAGTTGCCAAGGGGCAAACTGCAGGCCAGCAATGAGCTGTCCTCAGCCCTTCCTCAGCTTCCCTTCTCATAGATACCCAAAATCGGGAGGGGGCTGAGGCAGCAGGGAGCTGGTATGTCAGCACTGCTCTTGAGTGTGTGCACACTTGACTGGGCTGTGACAGCACCTGGCCTTGGCCCTGACTTTGCTCCAAAATTGGAGTGGTTGCCAAGAGCAGGGAGAAGCCAGGCATTGGGAGCAGGTATTTCTGAGCCTGTAAGGGCAAGGGGGCTTTCCTGGGTCCCCAAGAATGCAGATACCCAGATCTTCAGCTTCAGTTGCACCTGGGAGGGAGAGGTTCCTGTCTGCTCCAGGGAGCAGAAGGCCCAGGTCTGCAGCCATGATTTAGGCAGCTGTTGCAGCACATGGGGAGCTCCTGCCCCAGCTCAGACGGGGCAGGGCTCTTGCTTATCCCCAGCTCCTGCTAGCTCCATGGAGAATGCAGCCCCAGCCACACCTCCCTGCTGTGGCAGGCATGACGGCAACAGTCACTCCGGATGGCTGCCACTGCCATCAAAGTAATATGTGACTGTTTTTGACAATTGTCTGTGCCTCAACTTCCTCATATTTAAAGGAGAGGTAGTGATAATTGTATCTATAGTGTTGTGAGCATTAAATTAATTGTACATGTAAGTGTTTGGGATAATCCTTGGCATGTGCCAGTGTCAGCTGTTATCATTACCACTGAGAAGAGATGGCTATCTAGAAACACACCATCCTGTTCTAGGACATCCTGTGCCTGTGAAAACAAAAACAAAAGGTAAAATCAGGAAATTATCAGATTCACAAGACCCCTGAACATAGCCCCATGCCGGAAATCAAACAGGAAAACAGCAAAGTGACCACAATTTGCAACAACATTACAGGGTTGCTTCAATAACAAAGTAAAAAGTAAATATTCCAAGATATTCAACTCATTACAAATGAGTAACTGTATTTAAACACCAGTTTTGTGGCTCAAGGACTGCTTTTCCTAAATATCCAGATAGTTGATCAGTACTTTCTGGATTATGATATAAGTTTTACCATGCCCAAACCATTTGTGCAAATATTATTGTCTGTTTCCTTAGAGAAAGACAAGGCTTGAAAACTGTTTGCTTCATGCGTGCTATAATAGTAGCTCTGACATATGTGAACAAGTTACTTTTATTTTGTTATTTTGTTAGTAGTTATGTTTTATTCTCACAAGTTTAGATTCTAACTTGGTAATGTGTTATAGGCAAAGAAAAAATGAATGCTTCTTGCAATGTGAAACTAGAAAATAACAACACATTTTTTTTTCCCTGAATCTGGCTGGGTTTATTGGCAAAGGAGAGTTAAAACAAAATGCTTTGGCAAGATTTCATCAGTCCATGCTGCTAGAATATGCCACACTGGAGAACGAATACAGCATGCAGGAAAGAAATCATGAATTAAATACTTATTTTTTCCCAAATAGGTTTGAGTCTAAGATATTTTGCCAAATATTTTAATTGTGCCCTAAAATTAAAACACAAATTCAAATTTCAATTTCTATATACACTTTTCCACATTGGTATGAACTGTGCTGCATTGTTATGAAGTTTCTTATTATTTGGGATATTTAACCTCATGCTCTTTGCCATGACTACACATCTGGGCCTGAAGCAGAGCAGCATCAAACTGATGACATTTTGAAATGGAGTAAATTCTTTTAATTAATGAGAATTACAGTGCATGGGACAGATGCTAAGACCCTTTTGCTCTGCAGATATATTTCTATAGTTGTGCATGACTAGTCAAGCATGCATGTTTGGATACTCATCTGCGATACATGAGAACAATTTGTGCACCTGCATCTTGCAATCCATCCAGCATGTGCTAATCCACTGTTTTAATGAAAAAAAATTCCCACATTTGAGGTTCTAGAAGAAAACATAAGAATTGACATTAATTAAGGACAAAATTCCAATGATACAAACATGGTTTATAGCATATGAATATATTTATAGATTTCATACATAATAATATTATGTAAGAAAAGTTTTATGGATCTTCTTGATCAAGTTATATTAGAATAGATAGATGATAGATAATCTGACAGAATAACTTTAATGAAATATTTAATGAAAAGCAGAGTATTGTTAGATACACTCATTAGTACATGTTTTTCAGCAGGTGTACTACATTTTCTTTTTGGTACTTTGTAAATGAAGAATGATTTTAGAAATCAAAGATGACATAAGGACTAGCCAATACCACGTAACTATGTTTACCAAACTAATGAATTACATTTGGAAAATGTTTGCATAAAAACCATCTATAAATTTCCTTTAAGTCAGTGGAAATTGGGATTGAATGGGAGTCATTTCAATAAACTTTTCTTTTGAATACAATACTTTTGCTAGCTCATGGCTCTTAAATTGTAATAATTAAAACATATTTCTGACTAGAAATAATAATTAGGTTTTGTCTAGTAAAGTTATACAGAAAATAATCGTAGTTAATAACTTCCATTTATTTGGACCGCTGGATGGCTTGTGCACAACAGAAATTTAATTCTCACAGTTCTGGAGGCTGGGAAGCCCAAGACCAGGGCTGATTTGGTGTCTAGTGAGGGCTAACTTTCTGGTTTATAAATGACAACTTCTTGCTGTATCCTCACACTATGGAAGGGACTAGCTAGCCCTCGGCAGTCTCTTTTTTAAATAAGTGCACTAATCCCAATCATGAGAGCACCATCCTCATGATGTAATCACCTCCAAAAAGTCTTACCTCTTAATGCCATCATTTTATGGGTTAGGATTCCAACATATAAATTTGGGAACAACACAAGGATTCAGACCATAGCAATAACAATAATGATAAAAATGATGATGATGACGATGATAGAATTTAATGCTTAATAATTGCTAATATTGTATTATGTACTGGTAGTTGCCAAGAGAGTTGTTTTTAGGTACTTTTACCACAGACACACTCACATATACACACACACACAGAGCAATTAAATTTTATTAAATGTATTGACATTTATAATTTTCCCAACCTTGCAAAATAGATTTAATTATATCTCTTATTTGACAGTTGAAGAAACTGAGTAACAGAGAGGTTAAGTAACTTGGATAAAGCTCAAATGCTACTAATTAGTAGAATATAGACTTGGATGCAATCAGTTTGGCTATCAGCTCTTAATAACTTTGCCATGCTGCCCTTGTATTGTAGAGCAATAATGAAAGGATTCATATACAATGTCCATTTATTGTCAACAGTTTAGAAATACTTTTTCTATCTAAAGTTTATTATCCATAAGTTGTAAAAGGGGTACAATGTTTTTAATATCAGCAAGAGAGTGAGACAGAGTATGCAATGAAGCAATATATATGAAAAGCAAAATATTACTGATCTTATTATAACTATTTTAATAGAAAAAGGGGTACCTCAAACCCATTCAAATATAAAGCACACACACCTACACACACACACACACAATATCTCTATAAGAATCTTGTTATTTAAACAATTAGCCCTATTCTATTATTTGAATTTTCCTTGAGCCTTTCCTCATGCTATTCAATGTTATTTAAAAACATCACTTGAATACATAATCTCTTTGTATAACTATTATTTATTTAACCACCTTTTTTATAAAGTGATGTTTTTTAATGTGATTAACAAAATTTTAACTAAATTTTAGTCCATATTCATTAAGGAGTCCTTCACATACATTTCTAAATAGAAATTACTACACAAAAGACATACAAATCTTCATGACTCTTGATATATATCACAAAATTGCCTTCACAAAGAATGCTTGGATTTATAACATAGGAGATGGGTGTGGAAACACTTATCAGTATTAATTTATTTCCATTTTTTTTGCTAATTTAGAAAAAATCTAATTAGTGTTTTAGTTCACCTTTCTTTGAGTCCTACTGAGGTTGGACATATTCTTCCTTGCTTTTAGCTACTTGTATTTTTTATTTTCTGTGAGGGTGTATTTGTGCCCTTTTATTTGTAGTGTCAAATTGATTTCAAATCTTTTTTGTTAAAGCTAGCAATTTTTAGTTACACGTATTATATGTTTTCTTTGTGGATTGCCTTTTACATTTTCTTTGTGATTAAACATGCTTTATCTTTTATCATAATAGCAATGCATTTACTTACCTTATATACTAGATATTAAACAATTGAAAGTTAAAAATGAAAGTATCTCATTTTCAAATCTACTAATTACATTTTTTAAAATCCATGTATAGGCTCTTTTTTTCTATACTTCTTTCACCTTTCTTCCGCCCTATTTTGCTCAACTCTTCCTCTGTCTTTCTCCTTCACATGTATCTCTTCATCTTTTCCCTTTAAAACGTATGTCTTTCCAACTTTTCCCTCTCTCTCTGTCTTCCTGAAAACATCTATATGCTTACAAGCATATTTTTATAACATGGGATCATAGGTGATTATATTAGTTAACTTTTCAGCAATTCATTTTTTTCTACTTAATCTTAATTATGGACATTGTTTTGTATCAATATCTATGGCATCCCCTCATTAATTTTAGAAGCGTCATAGTATCTCATGGAATAGATGTATCATACATTTTTAATATATTCTTATAATTATAAAAAGCTAGATTATTTCTAGTATTTAAGTTTTTATAATCAATGCTACTTTTGAAAATTAATCATACATCTTTATGTGTTTCAGTTAACATTTTGTGATTCTTACGCATATACAGAGAAACTTAAAGCTTTATATAGCAAATTTGATTTTACAAATTTTTCTCTTACAAACAATGTTTCATGGAAATCCTTACAGATAAACTGCTACATATTTGCTGAAGGATTTTCTAAATTTTGAGGTGAAAAAGTCTCAACAATTATAGTCAAATTTATTATTTGCTTGTATTTTTTTGTTAAACACTTTATAGCTTGATTTTTTAGAACATTTATATTAATTGAACTACAAAACTTAGATGAAAATAAGCCTTGAAAAAGAGGAAAAACTCAATGCCACTTTTTCTCAATGATATTTTGGAGAAATATAAAATTGACTCAAAATCACAATTTAAATCCAGTATCTAAAATGTGAAAAGTTTCCTAAATGTTTTTATTCTTTTATTTTTTAAAAGCAGGCTATTATTAAGTTTATTTTTATTATCAAAGTAAAACATATTCAAGAACATAAATTTAGAAAAATAAAAGAACACACAGAAGAAAATAAATTTTACCCATAACCATGACACCTAAATGTAATCCTGCTTGTATCCGGATATCTCTTCCCAGATGTCTTCTTTATACATACACTCATATACAGCCAGCCATGTGCCAAGTAATATTTCAGTCAATAATAAACTGTATATATGTGTCACCCCATAAGAGTATAATACCATATTTTATTGTATCTTTTTAATTTTTATATTTAGATATGTGTAGATACACAAATACTAATGTGTTCCAATTGCTTGCAACATTTAGTACAATAACGTCGTGTACAGGTTTGTAGACTAGGAGCAATAGGCTATACCATACAGCCTAGGTGAGTAGTAGGGTATGCCATCTAAGTTTATGTAAGCACATTCTATGATGTTCATACAATGACAAAATTGCCTAATAATGCATTTCGCAGAACACATCCTCATTGTTAAGGGATGCATGACTTTATATGCAAACAACCTACTCACACACACTATATATGCACATATACACCAAATTATACTGTGCTGTACTTATATTACATCTTGAGAGTCTTATTCTTATTAAAGTCCAGTTTTGTTCTTTAAAAATATTTTTACATTATTAAAATAGGAGAAAAGTTAAGATTGTATTTGGCTCACCAATTAAAACTGTTTAGGTATGTTTTCAAATATAGCATTTTTGAGACATCCCTGCTGCTATGTATATGTGTCAACTAACTGCATTCAATTCCCTGAAAATGATGCTCATTTCAATCCTCAAACCTAAATATGGGACTATAGTTGTGCAATGACCTATGTTAATTGGAGCCTTCAGCATACTGATAATGGAGCTATGTTCTATCAGAAAACTAGTACCATTATATTTTCAAATAATATTAAATCAAAAGTTATATTTAAAATTAAATGAGAATATACTGCACAGGTGCGAAAAGATATGTTAAGACAAACAAAAATAACCGAGAGAACTAATCATCAAGTTGTGATGATACATTTTATTTATATGAGCAAAAAAGCACTTGTGAATTTATATGTATAACAATTTTGTCTGTTTCTTCAAAGACTAAAGCTAGCAAAAATATAGGCAATATTAATATAATATCTTTTTCCAAACTTTAAAAATTCAAAATAATTTTGGAAAATAGTAAACTTCAAAGCCTCATTATAAAATAAATTATAAACAAAATGGTGATTGTAGTTAGGGTCAGTGTGATAAGACTGCAGGTAAAACTAGAAAAGTTGAAGGAGCAAGAACTTCAGTGTCAGTAAAGGAAGAGTGAGCTTGAACATAGCTACAAAGATCACAGTGCAGTTATAAAGTATTGTAAGATACAAAACATCAGACTAAATTCATTAACTCTCCAGTTCCTAGAAAAACAACATTTGAAGCATTCAAACAAAGGAATTGATGGTCAAATATTTGTTTGAATATTCAAAGGGATTAATGGTGAAATATTCAGGAAGATAACCATATAATTTTTTATAAATTTTTTAATTTATAAAATTATAAATTTTTATAATAGCCGAGATGTGCATCTGTCAATCCTGAGTGACATACTGTAATATTTTGTGATAGGTTGAAAGTAATCATATGCAAAATATTTATCTTTTATAATCTGAGAGGCAGAATCCAAATAATCTAGACACATTTGGGGCTACCAATTAATGGGAAAGATAAAATGCAAGTAGAGACTATGGAAGTAAACATTAGGGAATCAGGAGGTACTGACATTAATAAAACTAATTCAATTTTGTCTCTTGATTACCAGAGAAATTCAAGTACAAAACTATAGTATGAAGCCAATGGTGAAGATAAAAACAGCAACCAGGAGGGTAACAGGAAAACAATTCTGATAATTTGAACTCAAGGTGATATTAAAATCTGGGGTAACTATCTTTCACGTATGCTTACTTATCTACACAACTTTTAAGGAAAAAGAAAGACAAGGACATAGTGATTCTACACAGGTAGCTCCACAAAATCAGACAGAAATAAAACTTCTCTTTAGTTGAAAATATTCTAAAGCATTAGAACAATATGTAATATGAGACTACGGTATCACTCAAGGAAGACAAATATATCAAGCACTTACAATTTAAGTGAAGCTAAAATAAGTTGTCACAATATGAGGGCACTTGAAAATGTGGAAAAATATAATTCAAAGATTAAAATAAAAATATAAACTTTATTTCTCAACATAAGTTCCACAAAATTCAAAACACTTTTGTAAGCTATGATATAAGCCATTTACTTTGTCTCTAAAGAACTGAGATTCCTGGAAATTCGACCATGTCAATGCAATCTTTTTTACATTATTAACTGAAGAAAATAAGTGCCCTTTAATGATATTTTAAGATTAGGAAACAAAAAGAGGTCAGAAAGAGTCAAATCAGGACTGTAAAGTACCAATGTTTTCCCATTGAAACTGTTGCAAAATTGCCCTGTGTGATGAGAGGAATGAACAGAAACACTGTGGTAGTGAAGGACTCTCTGATGAGATTTTTCTGCATATTTTGCTCCTTAAGCTTTGGCTACTTTCTCAAAACACATTAATGATAAGCAGATGTAATCATTCTTTGGCCTTCCGGATGATTTCAGGGGATGTGTTGAGCATCCCCCAAAAAACTGTTGCACGACCTTTGCTTTTGTCTGGTCCACTTTTGTTTTGACTGGACCTCTTGCTAGCCCTTGCTTGACTGTACTTTGTCTTCAGGATCCTACTGGTAAAGCCATGTTTCACCTCCTGTTACAATTCTTTTAACAAATGCTTCAGAATCGTTATCTCACTTGTTTCAAATTACCATTGAAAGCTCTGCTTTTGTCTGAAGCTGATCTGGGTGCAACAGTTTTGGCACCCATGGAGTGGAAAGTGCTCAACTTGAACTTTTCAGTCAGAATTGTGTAAGCTGAACCAGTGAAGATGTCTATGGTGCTGGCTATTGTTTCTGCTGATAGTCAGAACTCTTCATTTAGGGCATAAAGAAGATGAATTTTTTTTTCCTCACAAATTGATGTGGATAGTTACCACTGCATGCTTTCTCTTCAACCTCATCTCCTGCCTTCTTAAAATGAGTTATCCATTTGTGAACTGCTATTTCTTTGGGGAACTGTCTACACAAACTTTCTGTAAAGCATCAGTGATTTCACCATTCATCTACCCAAGCTTCACAATAAATTTGATGTTTTTTCTTGCTTCAATTTTAGCAGGATTCATGTTGCTCTGATAAAAGGCTCTTTTCAAATTCGTATCTTATCCTTCTTAGTGTCTCAATCTAGATCCTGTTTAGGCATACTATAACAAGTTGTTTTGAGTTGATTTTGGTGCAAAATATTTGAAATCCATGCAAGTTTTTAAAATAATACTGATTTTCAATGAACATTTAATAAAACACCCTCATAGAAGTCATAACAATTTAAAAATTGAGAAACAAATTTTCTAGGAAGATGAAAGGCTATTTTAAACTGGTACATAGGTGAATTATAATATGGAGATACACCTGGAATAAAAGGTAATTTAAAGGAACATGAGAAAATTATTACGAGAATGCTAGTAAAGTTGACCACAGAGAAGGATAGAGGTAATATGCTGGGCTCATGTGTTTATGAAAACATGTGATAAATGACAAATTAGGGTATACAATTTTTTATAAATGTTATAAAAAGAATGCTAGAATTTTTATTAGGATTACATTAAATCTGGAGATTAATTTGAGAATAATTAACATTTTAACAATATTGATGCTTCTAATTAACTAGTTAGAAATCTCTAGTATTTAGATTCTGTTTAATATCTCACTGATATTTTGAATTTTTCAATGTAAAGGTTTACATAAACTAATAACTAAGCAATTATGTTTTAATGCTATTGTAAATAGTGTTGCTATATTTTTTATTTTAATTTTCTAATTTTTTTCCCACTATATGGAAACAGAATTCATCTTTGTATATTGACCTTTTATCTGGAGACTTTGCACAATTCACTTATTTTGTATAATAACTTATAGATTCCTTTGTGTCTTCTGTTTACATCAGCATCTCATCTCAAATAAAGCCAGATTTCAATATTGATTTTAAATGTTCATGCATTTTATGTGTTCACTCATTGACCTGAATAAAACCTGCAGTTAAAGTTGAAAAGGAGTTGGGAGTATTATTCTTCAACTAGAATAAAAATATTTCTCCTATTATGTTAAAAATTTAATATACATTTTTTACTTTATATTGATTTACTGATTTTTTTTTTTTTTTTTTGAGATGGAGTTTTGCTCTTGTCACCCAGGCTGGAGTGCAATGGCATGATCAGCCTCCCAAGTAGCTGGGATTACAGGAGTGCGCCACCATGCCTGACTAATTTTTGTATTATTGGTAGAGATGGGGTTTCACCATGTTGGCCAGGCTGGTCTCAAACTCCCGACCTCAGGTGATCCACCTGCCTCAGCCTCCCAAAGTGCTGGGATTACAGGCAGGAGCCACTACACCTGGGCTGATTTACTGATTTTTAAAGTCTAAAACAACCATTCATTCACAGAGAGTAAAACACTTAGTTATTATATATCAGCATTTTCATACATTACTACATGAAAACAGGCAATTCTTTAAATTTATTTCAAGTTCATGAGAGATATTGATTAGGGAGTTTATTCTCAAGTAATATTTTCCAGGTTTTATTATCAGGGTTCTATCTTGGATAGCAAGTAGAGAAACATTATCTATACCTCGAATATCTGAAAATTTTTTTCATAGGTTTGCTATTATATATTTTATAAATATTTAATAGAATTTAACAGAAAAGTTATCTATGTCTAAAGATTTTTTTTAATGAGAAAGTTTGAAATGACAGATCCGATTTCTTTAACTGACATGGAATTGTGCAGGTTTTCCATTTCTTCCTGTGTCAGTTTTTTAAAGTTATTTTTCTCAAAGAATTTGCCTATTTTATTTAAGTTATATTATAGACATAAAGTTTCTCATAATATTCTCTTCCTGTTTAAAATATTTTATAATTCATAATAATCCCCTGTTCTCAATCATCTTGTTAGAAATTTTTTTCTCTCTTTTTTTGTTCCTTCTTGCTTTAACCTATTTAGTGAAACAAAATTTGGCTTGTTTCAATGTCCTTTGTGTTAATCCATTTTCTATTTTACTGATTGCTGTTACTTTAGTTATTATATTCATCTTTCTACTTTATTTGCATGTAGTTTGCTCAACTTTTTCTGGAAATCTATGCTTATACTTAAGTGGTTCACTTGTAAACTGCCTATATTTAAGCCTCTTTTTATAAAATCTGACAGTTTTTCTAATGTAATTGGAGTGGTTAGACCATTTATATTTAATATAGTTACCGATGAGGTTGTTTTAAAATATACAAGCTATTGCTATTTCCTTCTGTTTTTTCTTTTTACATTTTTGTCTCTTTTGAGGAACTCAAGTAATTTTTTATTTTGTCAGCACTATTGCATTTCACTTTTCCTATTTTAATGTTTACTTAGCACTTTAAAATACATATGGCTAACTTGAGCTCAGTTTGAATTAATATTTTAATAATCTGTTAACAAGAATAACAATCTTTTGTTATTATTGATATATAAATAAATACCATATTTTATTCTACTTAAGCCATACATCCAAAATTACACAGATCTTTTAATGTTTTATTATAGACTTTTATCTTTATCTATATTAATCTATCATTCTCATACTTTCCTGCAGATTTGTGCTTCTTCCTGAAAACATTTTTCCTTTACCTGAAGAGTAAATTTTGTTTTTTCTATTGTGGGTATGCTGGAGACAAATTTTTTTCAGCTTTCATTTTTCCAGTTATCTATTTATTTTACTTTCATTTATGAAGGATATTTCACTAGATTAAAAACTATTGACTAGATTTTCTTTTCCTTTTTGCTCTTTAAAAATGACATTTTATTGCCTTCTGGTCATCTGGGTTTCATTATCAGTGATGACAATATTTAAGTTTTTAAAAGCATTTTTATGAAGCCTTTATGATATGCTTTGGGTTGGTGCATATGTGTATTTGTGTTGTATTAATCCTGTTTGGGGTTTAATGAGCTTACTGAAATTCATATTAAAGGTTTTACAAATTTAGGAGATTCTTTCATATTGTATCTTCAAAATTTTCTGTGTCTTAATTATCTTTCTGTGTTATTCTCAGTCTCCTAACATGGAAAAATATTTGACATTACCTCAGAAGACTGATACTCTGTTTTAATTTTTTCTTTTATTTATAAATTAATCTATGCTCACTCTATACTTTGTATAGTTTTATTAATGTATCTTAAATTCTCTAAGCCATTTTTTCTTCTGTGACAAGTCTGCTGTTACCCTATCCAAGCAACACTATTTAAGATTTTAAAAAATTCTTAGTTGAAGAAAATACATTTGGTTCTTTTATAAAATTATAAAATTTCTGTGAAAATAATAATCTCCTATTCTCAGCCATCTGTTAAAATGACCAATACTTTCATTGATTTTGTCCACTTTTCTCTCTGATTTTTCTCTTATTTGTAATCATTTTTATAAAGTGTTTTTTCTAACACTTAGGTTGTTTGTTGTTCTGTTCCCATTTTCTTATTTAACTGTTGAATATGAATATTAATTTTACGGTTTTCTGCCCCTTATGTAAATGTTTTTTGTATACCAAATATTGTGTTCAAAAAAAATTGTAATTTGACCAAATACTATTATATTTTTCTCTTTTGATATACATTTACACGCAGGGGACAATACTTTAATCCTTTCAGGGCTGAGCTGAGTTGTTTGGCCTGTTTGTTTTTGCTGCTGAGTGAGTTTCAGTTTCCTTTTAGCTTCCTGTTCTTAAGAATAACATGTGGTTCCGTACATCTAGCAGGATGTTGTGATATAAGTACAGCAGGACTTCAAAGACTTATTTCTGTTTTTCAATCCATCCTCCAGCCTTCAATTCTATTATGCTTTCAGAAAATGTCCTGTAAAAAAGAACTGGCAGGCAGGAAAAACTTAGCTGTATATTTGGGATCCCACATACTCGAATCTATCACATCAGTTCAAATGGTTGCTATCCATTCCGCTGGTTTCTCCTTATCCCATAACAGTCCCTTTAAGTTTGGCAGGCTTGATCCTCTACCCACCCGTGGCCGAGGTTTAACATATGCCTGAGAGAAGGAAGAGATCACTGGTTTCTGTTTTTCTAGAAACTTCTGGTATTTCTCTGGAACATAATCATTAAGAGTCTTTTGAATCACCAGCACTTTTTGCCTTTAAAAACATAGGACTTTTAATTTATCTAGGAAACAATTTCCAAAAAATGGAAACAATTTTTTCTTACGAATTCTACATTCTAGCTAGAGCAGAATATCTGGAGACAAAGAGCTTTAGTTCAGTATAATAGTGATGACTGTTAATGTTTATTGAATACTGCTGGATGTAAAGTTTGACACTAATCACTTTAAATACGGTATCTCACTTAATACTAGAATGTATTTAGTTATCTCATTTTAAATCAAGGAAAAAAGAATCGTAGATGTTAGTATTTTTCTAAATATCAAATGTTGAAAAAGTGTGCCACAATGAGCTTTGAATTCGGATGTAATTTCCTCAAGAGATGACATATTATGTTGGCTTTGCTTGATGTAGACAACATATAGCATAGTGACTTCAATTTGGAACCTACTAAAAAACCTTATGGGGAGAAGATAGTACTACAAAGGCTTGGAGAGGGACAGCTGTTGGTTAGTATTCATGTAAACACACATACACTGCCTCCTGGCACACCTGAGATGGGAGAGCCAACTGTCTTAAAGTTTCAGTGATGCTGAAAGCATTCTCAATGTTCTGATGAGAATAATATCCACTGAATCAGAAATCAAAGAAATCAACCTCACATGCTATAAGCTTTTATCCCCTACAGCTAGACAGGTCAGAGACAGACCAGTGATGGTCAAAAGATGCTGAAAATTAACAATTGATTCTAAGCATTCTACAGATGATTACTAATTTGTGAGTGTTAAAGAAGTATACTGATTTACCTTTTAGAGGTCAGTATTGAAAGTGTGGAAAAAACCTTCCACAGGATCTAAAGATTACAGCAACAATTGAGAGGCACTTTGAAATTTGTCAAAATGGGAGAGGATATAAGCATTTAGTTTGGTAAAATAGATTCAATCCAAACAACTGTGCTATCATTATCAGCATGAAACAATGTAATAATCTGAATAAGAAGGCTCTGTTTTAAAAAACAGTTGCTAAAGTGTTATGATAACCTCAGAAATATCCCAAGAGGAATGAAACTCTAAACAGAAAACAGGAATTCAAATATTTTTCTCTGAATCGATATTTTATAGTGGGAGAATGATACTTCTCCAAATTGACATTCAGATTTTCAAACTAAAATGTTAATCTTTATCTTTCTGTCATTCATTATCTCTTCTCTGAGCCAAACTCATAAAGACAAAGGTAACATATGTTAGAAATGGAAATGATCATTTGGGCAATGCGTACAATATCCTGCAGCTCCAGTAAAATTATTTCAGTTTTAGTTGTTTTTCTCACATTGGTGTAAATCCTCCCAGGGTGGGGAGAATGGAAAGCATATTACTTCAAATCTTCAAGAAGATCTTCTTTAAACTAAGACAATTTGCACACACATTGTTTCATAAGTGGGAGCTGAACATTTTTACACATGGACACGAACATGGGAACAATAAACACTGGGGGCTACTGGGGTTGGGGGAAGAAAGGGGAGGGTTGAGGGTTGAAAAACTACCTATTGCATATATACTCACTACCTGAGTGATGGAATCATTCATATCCCAAGCCTCAGTGTCACACAACATACTCATGTAACAAACCTGCACACGCAACCCCTGAACCTAAAATAAAAGTTAAAATAAATTGGACTATAAACTTCTCATTTTAATTATAAACCAATTCCAATTTATTTATTTCCCAATTTGCTGTTAGTATTTACTTAGTAACTGTGATGAACCAAAATATAAACATTTTACACTAAAAATTATACAGCAAATATGAGTTGACTTAACCACTATGTCCTTAAGTTCCCCTTTATCCAGTCTTCTATTCCACTATCTGTTTCAATAATGTCAAGATCCTCCAGCTGTGTTTCTTCATTCCTGCCAATATGAGACGTGTAACTTATGTTTAAGTAACAATTTCAATGAATGAACTATTTCTTACAATAGCAAGGAATGTACTACTCCTGGCTTTCAAATTATGATGTAAAGCAATTCTAGTCATTGATCCGCAGGGACAAGGATAGAGATGGTGCCTTATCTTATGAACCCTGTTTGTGAGCTCCCTAACTTAGGGGAGGTTCTTACAGACTCTCTGGGCCAGGGGAGGCTGATGTCACCCTGACAAAAAGGAGGAAACTGCACTTTCTATCCTGTAAAGTCAGAGAGAATCCAGTGTTTAGAGATTTTTCAGGTTTTTCTGCCAAAATGGCTATACTCGAGGTCATAAAATCCCATTCTTTCTCTACCAGGGTGCTGAAATTGGCCAAGAACACCTGTGGAGACCACGCCTTCAGTCTCCTCTGAAGCTGTGCCCTGCAGTTACAGAAGAAAAGGTGCTCTTTGTACACTGCCATAGAGCGCCTTGAGTTAATAGTTGATTAACATAAACTTATTTTTCCTTTTCAAGGCTTCAAAGACTGCTAACCAAATCCAGCTAACTCCACAGTCCTTAAAAATACCATTGCCTGCTTTAAAATATATTAGGAGAATAGGCTGGGCACAGTGGCTCACGCCTGTAATCCCAGCATTTTAGGAGGCAGAGGCGAGCGGATCACTGGAGGTCAGAAATTCAAGACCAGCCTGGCCAACATGGTGAAACCCCGTCTCTACTAAAAATACAAAAATTAGCTGGGTGTTGTGGTGGGTGCCTATAATCCTGGCCACTCAGGAGGCTGAGGCAGGAGAATTGCTTGAACCCAGGAGGGCTGCAGTGAGTGGAGATCATGCCACTGTACTCCAGCCTAGGCAACAGAGCAAGATTGCATCTCAAAAACATAAAATAGATAAAATATATTAGGAGGATAGATTGAATGAAAAGTGATCTTACCTCAGGCGAGGAATAGGAGGCATAAAAGAGGAAAGGATAGTTTTAGTGATGATAGATATGTTTAGTATATTGATTGTGGTGGTTGTATAATGAGTGTATAAATAAATCCATATTCATTAAATGTAGACATTAAATATGCACAGTTTTGTATATAAACTATGCCTCAATAAAGCTACAAAAATACCATTGCTCAATATTTCAGTGCCACCACTATTACAGAAGCCAGAGTTTCAGATTTCATCTATGCAGGATTCCAATCCACCACAAATGATTCTTAATAATATTACAACTTTATAGAGACTTTTTAGGTCAGGGGTTGTCACCTTCCCACTTTCCAGATACAGAGTTGTTATCAATGTGACCAGTGAAAGGTTCAGATCCTGAATCCCATCCTGATGATTTGCTTTCTATGGCCTTTACCCACATTCTCTTAACCTGGACTTTCCTAAAAAGGTGAGATTTAGACAAGTACTTGCAGGCAGATTGTTTATCTTGGGAACTGACCCCTAAGAATAAAAATCAATGGACACTAAAAGAGTGAGTTAAAGGGAGGAAAGCAAAATCAATCTGTGTTATTGAATGTATTATGATTGCAGGAAATTCGGGCATGATTCCACTCAAGACACTGTTAAGGGCACGGGAAAATTAACCTGAAGTCTTAATCTGAGACAAAAAGAGGAGAATATTTTACCCACCAACATTCATATACCACTAATTAAGTCTTACCTTAAAAAATATCAGGTTTGTGCATGTATCAAAATCACTTGGTAGATTCCCACAATTATTACAAAAGCAGAAACAGAATATTTCCAGTGCAAAGAGAGATGAAAGTCCCACTGGAATGAGATGCTGTCGGGTTACACCTGCATATGGCTGATTCCTGCATCAATGGCTGGAGCTTAAAAATAATGGGAAGGTGACTCGAGTCTTGAGGCAGTTTACTGAAGGTATATATTTTATACTCCATAAATCCAATATGAGAGTCAGGGGCTGAATTAAGTGGTTTAAACCACACTAACTATCCATCTTCATTTTTGGATTAATAATAGTTAGCTTGTTATTTCTGCTTCTTAAGCTCAATTAAAACAAACAAACAAAAACAAAAAATATTTTCTGTTCAGTTACTTCTTGCCAGTTACTTCTTTTTCCAGGTACTATGTCAGGTGCCAGAAGTCTGAGATATATTACTGCAAGCCTCTTCTGTGGAGGATATTACAACTGAACTAGAAGAAAGGCATGTACTCAAATTGAAATCATAATGCAGAAAGAGTACAGAGTTTGACACCGTTTAAGCTTAAAGAGTGTCAAAATCTGTATTTAGATTGTTTCGTAGTGATTAAAAATTATATGAGCATTTTTAAAATGAAAAATACTATTTTATAACGAACAAAAATAGTTGTAAAATATTTTAACAGAGCAGAAGAAAGAAAACCTGTTTTCTTATACCGAGTGTCAAGTATTGCTCTGGATGGTTGTCATACATTATAATATTTCATTCTTACATGAGAATATCAAAATATCAAAATAAGTATAATAGTATGCACGCTGTCTTCTAAGTGAGGAAACAGATCAATATCATTTGGTCAGGTTGTTAGAAGCCACACAATTATTATGTGGTACCTTATTATTTTTTTTTACAGTGTATCATGTTTCCAACATACTAAACAATCTACTACTTTTCTATTTTTTGACTTTCTACTGTCAACTACTGGAAAGTACATTTATATACTATTAGGCTATTACTTTTGCTACTCCTACTATTACTATTTGCTTCTATTGCTCTCCTACCACTTCCATTTATCTTGTTATTGCTACCATTACTACCACTATGAAAACTAGCACCATCACAAAACAAGCAACTGCAGTTTTTCACTGAGCACTTAATGCATTTGTCATATCTAAATGTTTACATCTACCTCCTGTAATCCATATGACACTGTTGTTCAAAATATGTATTAATAAACATAAGTGAGACAGGTCAGGCTTAAATCCTGGTTGTGTTGCATATTTATTTATTTTTGCCTTTGTAAGCTATTACCTTATAATAATCCACCAAATTATGTAAAGAAAATCTGCTCATAAAATACATACAATTTCATCATTTAGAGATATATGTGTTAATATCCTTATGTATTTATTCATTTTCTTCCTGGTATGTGTGCTAAGAAAATTGTATCTTGCTGTAAATATGTAAAGGTAATTCTTGTATTTGTGCCCCTTCCTTCCTTCCTTCCTTCCCTCCTTCTTTCCTTCTTTCTTCTTGACAGAGTTTCACGCTTATCACCCAGGCTGGAATGCAGTGGTGCGATCTCGGCTCACTGCAACCTGCCTCTCCTGAGTCCAGGCGATTCTCCTGCCTCAGCCTCCCGAGTAGCTGGGACTATAGATGTGTGCCACCACACCCGGCTAATTTTTTGTATTTTTAGTGGAGACAGGTTTTCATCATGTTGGCCAGAGTGGTCTTAAACTCCTGACTTCAGGTAATCCGCCTACCTCAACTTCCCAAAGTGTTGGAATTACAGGCGTGACCACGGTGCCTGGCCAGCATATTTATTTATATATTTGCCTACAGTATCATAGTTTCCTACATTGTAAAATTGATTAAAAATAACATACCTTATATTTATTTAATATGTCTTCAAATATTACAAAGTTCAAATATGTTTCAGTTAGTTTAACTTTCTTTGACAATTTGTTTATATTTTTGTTTGTTATTAATGTAATATTATTTTCTAATTTTCACATTTTATTCTTGATATTGTAAAAATGCTTTCATTGTTATGATATTGACCCTTATTTTTCTAATACCCTGGAGACATTTATTTTCATTTGTCTTCTTTTTCATTTTATTTGGATGTTTGCTGTTTTCTTTGTTCATGTCAGTTTTATTGTTTTTATGATTTCTTACATAACTTTTATGGTTATAAATCCCTTGCATTTTTTTTTTTTTTTTTTTTTTTTTTGAGACGGAGTCTCGCTCTGTCGCCCAGGCCAGACTGCGGACTGCAGTGGCGCAATCTCGGCTCACTGCAAGCTCCGCTTCCCGGGTTCACGCCATTCTCCTGCCTCAGCCTCCCGAGTAGCTGGGACTACAGGCGCCCGCCACCGCGCCCGGCTAATTTTTTGTATTTTTAGTAGAGACGGGGTTTCACCTTGTTAGCCAGGATGGTCTCGATCTCCTGACCTCATGATCCACCCGCCTCGGCCTCCCAAAGTGCTGGGATTACAGGCGTGAGCCACCGCGCCCGGCCAAATCCCTTGCATTTTTATTTTTAATTAATATTTATTTATATGTTGCTCTAGTTGTTAGAAGATTTTATTAGTAAAACACGGTATTTGGAATCCTTGAGTTTATTATTTGGTGCATATTGTGAGAACAGAAAATAATATTTTATTATTGTTTTTCTAAATCACCACTTGGCCTAAAAATATTCTTCTTTTTCAGATGAGTTCATGTTCTTTGCAGGGACATGGATGGAGTTGGAAACCATCATTCTCAGCAAACTATCACAAGGTCAGAAAACCAAACACCGCATGTTGTCACTCATAAGTGGGAGTTGAACAATGAGAACACATGGACACAGGGAGGGGAACATCACATGCCGGGGCCTGTCAGGGGATGTGGGGGTAGTGGAAGGATAACATTAGGAGAAATACCTACTGTAGGTGACTGGTTGATTGGTGCAGCAAACCACCATGGCACGTGTATACTTACATAACAAAGCTACATGTTCTGCACATGTAACCCAGAACTTAAAGTATAATAAAACAAAACAAAACAAAACAAAACAAAAAAAGCTAAAAACAGAAAAAAAAAAGAATATTCTTCCTTTTCTACATGAAAAATCCCAACTTAATTATATGGTGATTATTCTTACATTAGTATATTCAGATTTACTTCCAAGATTTCAATTAGCCTGTCTATACAGGATAACAGATATTGAAATAATTACTTAATATATTTATTTAGTTTTAATATAATTATGTTATTCTCACTCACTCCTCTTTTTCTCCCAAAATGTTCATAGATATCAATATTTTAAATTATTTGAAAAGTACTACTAATGGATGGAGTCATCATCAATTTACTAGACTTCCTCTTCCAATTCATTGAGAATAGGGTTCTTATGAGGACAGACCACTAACTTTGTGACCCTAGGCAATTGATACAGCTTTCTAATTCTTTTTTCATCTGCAAAAATAGGTAATACTTAGTATTTCTTTAATGGTGTTGATGTCAATAATTCATTAGATAAAACATGGAGGTACTTTAAATAGTGCTTGAGATGACCTTGGAATCAACTATTACATTTTCTATGATTATCATAATGATGATGAATATCCAGCTTTCACATGCTAGCAAAGCCCATTACCTTTAAAACAACTTTCATTTCTGTCTCTTTTGCCAGCAAACATGCAATGACCAATTAAAGTGCTCTTGAATTCTATACTCTTTTCTCTGAGTCTCAAAACTGGCACTTCCCAACAAATTAAATGCAAACTTATGATTTTTTCCTACTAATCAGACATTCATTCTGCTCTTTATGATTACCCCCACTTATTTCCTTTTCTATGGGGAAAGGCTGAAGCCTTTTTTAAGCATTCATCAAATCCTATCCAGGTTTAATGGATTCCCACAACCAGACTTCCATTTTTACATTAGCCTTTTGTTCAGATTTACTACATTCTTAGGATCATTGCAGACAACATAGTGATTCCATACATATTGTTTACAATTAGTCACTGAAGTATGTCCATTCTTCTTGTAAACTCATTACCTATTTGAGAGGAAGTAAAACAATGTTCATCTTTTCTCAATATTGCTTATCATGGTAGATAGAAACAAATTCCTATCTATGAAAGACAGAGAAATTACTCCAGCTCTGACAGATGAGTTGCACAACTTCTAAGATGAGATAACTATTCTTGATATGCTCCCTTGCTATCTCATAATTTCTAGTGACTGCTATAGGAAAGTAAATATTTTAATTGAAAAAAAACAATTTCTTCAAAGATTGTCATTTCCATTGGAAAGCAAAGATACAGAGAGCAAATAGTAAAATTAAAGGATTTCATAATAGCTGGTGTTCTTTAATTTAAATGAGAATTCTCGAAATTGGTTCGTGTTGGGTAGACTACATTCTGTGCAATGTACCTAAACATTGTCTGTAGTTTTAAAAAGGTTTCTGGCACATAAAAGCATTCCACCGAGGCAGTGAAGCAATTAAAGGAATAATTCAAAGGCAGATCCAGGAGAATACGGAGAATAAGAGCACCACGTTAAATATCTTTTTTTACATTAATGGTTTGATACTAGTATTTTAAGTAAAAGAAAAGTAGCTATTCAATCAACAGAAACAACATCTACATTCCTTTTTTTATGCTCTCCATTAATAATGTCATGTTTCATCATTACTTTCCTTGACCACAGGTGTGAAATTAGTGGAATGTTATTGTGTTTACAAA
This sequence comes from Homo sapiens, assembly GCF_000001405.40. NCBI lineage: Eukaryota > Metazoa > Chordata > Mammalia > Primates > Hominidae > Homo > Homo sapiens. The sequence continues at coordinate 31,355,963 of NC_000009.12, forward strand.
TTATAAAGAGAGTTATATCTGCAAATACTATTTTATTAGACAAAGAATTTAAAAAAAGTATCCAGTGAAGGTCACTATTTACACAGATGTATTCATTTGCAAGAACACACATAACCAATCTGTTCCATTGTGTATTAACAAAGTAATTTCATGGTTGAATGAATTTATGTAATTAGGTATCATGTTTTAGCATAATAGTGCCATTATACTTAGTGGTGAGTCATATTTAAATGGAGAATTCTGATATGCAGCCTACAAATAACACAGTAGCAAGTGTTTCTTAATAATAGTAAGATGTGTGTATACCACATTGTGGTTTACAAGGCACTTTCACATGTATTATCTAACTTCAAAATGTTCAGAAAATCATGTATTTAGGGTGGGAGTTCTATTGCTAATAAACAGATGAAGAAAATGCATAGGAATATGAAAGACATATTTCCTCAAAGTCACTATTTGCAGGATTAGAACTAGAACACACTTATCCTGATTCCTAATTCCTAAAAGTATGGTACTTTTCTTACCAAATACTTTTTTTCTTTTTTATGCCCTAGATTTTATTAACTACAATACATAATAAATCCAATAGCACTCTGACTTATTTTCTGTCTTGTGAATAAAGTGAGACCCCCTCCTCACCATTGTACATCCTTATTTAGAATTCTAAACTGTCCACTGTTTTAAAATCCTATCCAAAAGTTTTGGATTACATTGACTCCATTCAACAACAGTGTCTAGTTTCAATAAATATTATTGATATTGTTGGTTGTTTAAATTATGTTGGAATTTAATTCTTACATATCCAAATGTGGCTCCCTGCTTTGCCTCTAAAAATCTAATAAATATGACAAGAGTGAGCAATACCTCTTGCCATATTTGCTGTTGTAGTGTTAATTTGTCTGCTGTGTTTATAAAAGCTCTTCTTTCTGCAGTGATAATGATATATTACACAATAAGAATTTTTCTACTTGTCACGTAAACCTGAAATAAGTTGTTAAAATTCAGTCTCAAATTGAAAGTATTAACTCATTTAGAAGATTTTATTGTAAAAATGGCAACATCATTGCCATTTTAGGCATTATCTCATCTCCTGTCAATAAAAATAATGTTTAGGTATAAAAGTTAAATTACATTCATTACTATCATAATAATGGTACAACTTTGTACTAAAAACTTCAGCAGGTTTATGTTTGTTACTAAGCAACAACAAGTAGGTAAGACTAATACTTTTCAATGAATATGTGGTCAAATACAAGGTATAAGGCATGTTAAGGGACAGATTACTTGTGCAAAAGAGGGTTGTGTTCAGAGGGCCAGGTGATTTTTGTTGCTTTGATTTATTTGGTTATTGATGTTATGCCTATTAATCTGTGATTAATTTAATTTTAAGCAATGTATCTTTGAAGTTACATATGGTAAATGTAATGACTATGAAAAGTCTGATAATTTTTAATATTTAAGAATTATTTACTTATGTATGCTTACATAGAGAACATACTATATATATGGTAAATATACTGACCATGAAAAGTCTAATAATTTTTAATATTTAAGAGTTATTTACTTATGTATGCTTACATAGAGAACATGCTAACCAATTTTTAAATATTATGTGCAATTGCATTATACCCATCATTTAAATTATCTCTAAAAACAAGTTAGAATCCATCTTGAAAGACATTACACTAGGCATGATCATATGATCATTATATGGTGGGCTTGAACAACATGAAGCATTAACTCTTTCTACTAAATAGAGTAGATTCATAAGAAAATTGATGTTTTAATATATTACCTTTGAAAATGTTTCAGATAAACAAAAATTGGCTTTATTTATTTTATGTTCATATATTGCCTGCTATAATCATCACTAATGTGTAAACGAGAATCGATCCATATATGTGAAAACATCTACACATAATGCAAGGAGTAATTCCAGTATGAATAATGATAAAAATAATGGTAATCAAGATTCAAATTCAACTATCCTGATGTGTTTCACACGAATTAGCCTTTCCCTCTTATAAATCTTCCTTATTAAAATATCTTAAAACACACAATATTAATTGCTTTTTGAAATGGGCTTTTGATGTATAGAGAGAAACAATATGGAAGAAGTATATAATTTTATAGTGTCTCACCCGAAAAATGTATATCTTTTATACTACCACCCCTGTATTAGTCTGTTTTCATGCTGCTGATGAAGATATACCCGAGACTGGGCAGTTTAAAAAAGAAAGAGGTTTAACTGGACTTACAGTTCCAAGTGGCTGGGGAAGCCTCACAATCATGGTGGAAGGCAAGGAGGAGCAAATCACATATTACATGAATGGCAGCAGGCAAAGAGAGCTTATGCAGGAAAACCCCCCTTAGAATAACCATCAGATGTCGTGAGACTTACTCACTATCACGAGAACGGCACAGAAACGATCTGCCCCCGTGATTCAATTATGTCCCACCACGTCCCTCCCACAACACGTGGGAATTCAAGATGAGATTTGGGTGGGGATACAGCCAAACCATATCAACCCCTTTCAATCCTTTATTCTTCAACTCTCCTTGGAGAAGTCTGGCATTTTGTTTTCTATTTCAAAGCAAATGCTAAGGCAGCCTCCCTCTCCTAGCCTTCTTCCTTTGAACTTGTTAAAAATCCAGGATTATGATCTCTTTCTTTACACATATCATTTTTCACACTATCCAGCAATCTCCAAGCCACTCTAACACTGACCCACAAAGATTTTAGCACATGACTCAAAGTTCTTTTTTCTCTGGACAATACACTTGTTACCTTCTGAGTAGATTTTCTCATTCACATTACCTCTGTTTTAGTGACCTATTCCACTTTTAATGTCTTTGTGACCTTTATGTCCTCAGAAGATCAGCAAATAACTCCCATAGTACCCTCTTTAAAGTTCCCAGTTTCAAGAGGCAATGTGATTTTTGGAAGATGGATTTTGAAGGTACAAGGTCTCGTTTTGATCACTAGTCTTACATTAGTTAGTTTACATGAATTGGTCATTGACAATGTATGTAAGGATAAATAGGGCTTTCACATTTTCCTATAAAATGGAAATACAGCTAACATCCAGAGATGATGGAAGAAGTGAGTCAATGCACACACAAAGTATCAGATGAAATAGATCATGATCAATCCTTGACTCAAAAAAGGTTTGCAAAATATGGAGACAAAATTCAATAATATTTTTTTCTTATGCTATTTTCTAATTCTGGGAAGTAATTCTTCCTATTGTCTTTCTCTTGGAACTGAAATCCTACCCATGGATATCTTTCCTATGAGAATTATTTCCTGTTCCTCTGAGCCATAAACAATGGTTTCTACTTCAGTACTTTAGGCCTGTTTCATTACTTAACACTGCATTACATTTACTTTACTTTATGCTACTGTATTAAGAATCTTAAAATCAGTGGTTATGTCTCATTTACTTATAAATCTCCCATACAGATTTTTCATTTCTCACTTAAATGATAGGTGCCCAAAGAGTGAGCCTTTCTTAAATAAATACATGAATGATGGATTTAGCAAAGCTTTCCTAGTTGTTTGGAAAGAGGAGGGTTGGAAAATAGCATCAGTTAAAAAATATATACCTAATTGAAAATATACTTAGTGTCCCTGGTGAGACAAAATGGCATGAATGCTATTTTTATTATCTTGCCTGCCTACTGTTTACCCAGATTATATTTAGAGTTCAATGCTCCCTGAATCACAGAATTTGGAGAACCAGCTCGTGTAGGAAAACAAAACAATACACAAGGAAAGAACTTCCTCTTCCTTATGTCTAGATAGACACATAATCTAGTTTCTCCAAAGGCAAGAAAGAATTATTTTATTTACTGAACCCAAAGTGCATAGTTGGGAATGTAAAATTCACACCTTTGATGTTAGATTTCCGTTCTTTCATTTTCATGTTAAAAGTTGGAGTATGAGAGGGGATTTTCATCAAACTTCAAGCCAGTAACACTTGTTAAATGAGTCTTGGATGCAGATGTTAAGGATAGGCTTTGACATATAAATAGAGAAAAAAAAATCAGAAGTAATTCCATTCAGTTATACAGTCACTAGGTACATCTCTTTTCCTATTATACAGAGATATTTAAGTTTATTTTTTCTCTCATATAGTGCTGGATCTCTTCCACATCAAGTTATTATAAGAAATAAATAACTACAATTTGTATAAATTTATTGCTTTGTACATCAAATGTGAATGTGCAATTTAATGAAGCTTTCAGATTGTCTAGATCTTGTCTTATATTTTAATTTTATTTAACAACAGTAATTTGTCAGACAACTAGGCTGAACAAAGACAATGGAGAGCTGTTGTACTAAGAGTATGGCTTTGAATTAAACTACAATAAATAGATAGATAAATAAATAAATAAGTAAAAAGTTTTACCATGTTAATGGATGTTTTCCTTGGTACAAATTGATATATTATTTAAAGAAAATTTATTTTCACAGTTGTTATCTGTCTTCTAAAAGCCTCACAAAATATTTTACCAGTATAATTTCTCTCTTAGGGTATTGGTAACTCTAATTATTGTCCATTTTACATTCAAAATTTTGAAATGGTGAAAAACATGATACATGATGAGAAGCATTTCTGACAAGAGAAGGTGTGCTGGCTGGCTTCAAAGACACTTCATCTTAGTGAGTATGATTATCTTGATTTTCTAAAAGCTGTATCATGTCACAACACCAAAGGACAATGAGAATTTGGGGATAAATTTATTACAATTAAATTAACTGATTGCAATTAATTGTTTGTCATTCATAAAAAAAGAACCCTGAATCTTTTCAGTTATAGGGATGCTTACATTCCCATGAAGTGAGTTCCTTTCTTGGTGTGAATGAATTTGGAAAAACAATTAATGATGATGACATTGCATGGTATATTGTAATAAGAGAATAATAGGTAGACAGATATCAAGTGACACTTAATTCAGAAGATAAGGAAGTTGACATGATATCTGGATTCATTATAAAGGATTTGTGGAGATCTTTGTCTTTTTTTCCACCCAACACAATTTCTGTGCTCATTAATTATGCATTCTTTTTCAGTTAATAACTACCTATTATAAAAGCAAGGTTTTTCTACACAATAATTCCTGATATGTCTATAATTGATCAAATTCACTTATAAAGGATAGGCTTTAGTTACATATTTTCAAGTTATTACAGAATATTTCACATTCTTTCTAACTTGTGCATATCCATATAACTGGTTTTGAATGTTGGTCTAACACTTACTAAATACATAATCATAAATATTTATTTTTCCATCACTATAATAGCTTTGATATTGTCAACATTGTGTTGAAATGATGTGAAATAAAGCAGTATTTAAAGTAACTAAACTCAACACATTTCAGGGTTTTTTTTTCTAATTTAGGATATATATTATATATATATATGCTAAATTACATATTTATATTCTACACAGGATAAATAATGACTCATTGTTAATATTCATTAGAACAAAGACTGGATCTGAAATTAGAACCCATGATATTAACTATTTTATTTGCAACAAAACTTTATTTTCCATACCAGGAAATTTTCCTTACACTAGATTTTTTACTTGCTATGTCTGTCTGCCATCTCTTACTGTTTTTTTAAGAATAACAGTTTGCTTTTTCAGAAAAGGAATAGATTATGTCTTTCCATAATTCAGGATTGCAGTAGATTTTCCTTTGTAGATGACTGATCAAAAGTCATGTTTATGTTAATAGTTAATTTATTCTCTGTATAAATCTTAAATGTGAGAACTTAGTAACTGGTCGAAATTGAGTTATATAATTTAATTACCATGATCTTAGGCAAGTTATTACTATGTTTCACCATTTCTGCATTTGTATAATGATTCAGGAAGTTAAGCTGTGATGACGATCATTGCATAAAAACAGATTCTCCACACCCACATTTATAAACATATGCATACATAACAGTCACAAATACCTTATCAAGTATTGCTCATAGAGACGTAGTAATAGTATGTCTTCTTTAAAGGTATAAAAAATATTTTTTCTTTTGAGACGGAGTCTTGCTCTGTCGCCCAGGCTGGGTTGCAGAGGCAGGATCTCTGCTCGCCGCGAGCTCCACCTCCCAGGTTCAAGCGGTTCTCCTGCCTCAGCCTCCCAAGCAGCTGGGATTACAGGTGCGTGCCACCGTGCCCTGCTAATTTTGTTATTTTTAGTAGAGACCGAGTTTTGCCGTGTTGACCAGGCTGGTCTCTAACTCTTGAGATCCGCCCACGTCGGCCTTCCAAAGTGCTGGGGTTACAGGCGTGCCCAGACACATCTTTAAATTATTAAGAACTCTCCATAAAGAAAGATAGCAGAAGAACAAAATGCCATTATGTCACTAGGCAAAATAAGAGAGTCCTAATCAGCTAGTTTTATTTTAATTGAGAATTTCCTTGGCCCATCAATTGACTTCGAGTACTTTAAGAAGGCAAAAATTAAAGGTACAGAAAGATATGTGCATATAATTATTCATTGCATCCTTGTTTATAACATTAAAAATCGAGAAACCGCCACTATTTTCCACAGGAGCTTGTTAAATAAGTTATGGTATAATCATCATTTAATGTTGTTGTTATTAAAAATGCTTGAGAAAAAAATGACGTTAGTGAATAAAAATATCTGGATACACACAACCGCATATTTACATATGATATGTTGGCCTACATAGTTACTAAGAGGATCAGAATTGACATATAACCATAATTCCTTTTAGTAATTAATTGATATTATATAATCTAATGTTTAGGAGTTTCTTAATAACTAAAGATATTTTGAGCTAAATGATTTAAATGCAGATCTTTCACTTGGTTATAATATTTTCATTTTACCTTCATTGCATTTAGTTCTTTCTATTAACTACTTGCCAGCATTTTATTATCAGAACACACATGAAATATGAAGTAAATATCTAAACACTGGATTGAATTCCCTTGCTTTTCTCCTTGATCAAAACCAGGTCCAAAGATTTTTTTTCTAAACTGAAACAAAACAAAATAAAACAACAACAACATAAAACTACTTTCTTAATGGAATGGTATATAATAATGTTTTTAAGATATCCGTGTACAAGATAATAGAATGACAAAGTCACAAGTCACAACAATTAAGTGAGGGGACAGAATAGGGCGGGCTAAGTGCTTGGTATCTAGTCTTATTTGATATTTCGAATATATAATGTCAAATATAAAATAACCACTTCAGAAAACATCTCCACTGTGCTTCTACAGTTATCAGCAATAACATTATGTCCATATCTTAGTTATAACCTTGTTAATCTTACATTTAAGCAAGGAAGACAGATAACTAAACCAGTAATGAAAGCAGAGTGATGGGTGTGCAGTGTGCCACGGGAGAATACACAGGAATACAGTCTAATCCTTAATAAAACATTAGCGAAACAAAATAGGCCGGGCACGGTGGCTCATGCCTGTAATCCCAGCACTTTGGGAGGCCAAGGCGGGCGGATCACGAGGTCAGGAGATCGAGACCATCCTGGCTAACATGGTGAAACCCCGTGTCTACTAAACATACAAAAAATTAGCCAGGCGTGGTGGTGGGTGACTGTAGTCCCAGCCACTCGGGAGGCTGAGGCAGGAGAATGGCGTGAACCTGGGAGGCGGAGCTTGCAGTGAGCCAAGATCGCGCCACTGCACTCCAGCCTGGGCGACAGAGCAAGATTCCCTCTCAAAAAATAAATAAATAAATAAATAAATAAATAAAAATAAATAAATTGCTGACTAATGGGAGCAATTTTTAACTACAAGGAAGATAGATCCAAGAATATTAAAATGATACAATAAAACATTTTAATGCAAACCAACAATAAAACCAGTAAAAAGTAAAACTTAACAGATGCATTAAAAGCTTCCAATGTCATTTTACATGCATATTTTGTAAAAGCATTAGAAAGCCAGAAACATAGACATATTTTCTCAACACATGAGGAAGAGAAGATGTCAGGGCAAGTACCATTTCAGTTGACAAAGAAACTAAGGGAAAAAGCATACCATATATATGTAATTTCTAATATATATAATTTAGCTCAGATTCCCTAAAAAAGGTAAGATATAGAAGTGGGGATGAAAAGGAGGGAATGTTCATTGAGAGAAAATGATGTATATTCAATTACTTCATTAATTGATATTGTAATAATATAAAATAGAAAATAATACTTTAAAGGTGGAAAACACCTAATTAAGTAATATTTTGCTAATAGACGACAGTGCAGATTCATTTCTGGACTTCGATGGAGAGGAAGATTTGGAGATGAGATGGAAACATTCTGTCAGAGGTCATAACTGTCAAAGTCAAATCGGATAGATACACACAGGGTTCGGTTAGAGAAGAAGATTAATTTACCTATGTCAGCGAATATATGTTAGGCTGCAGTAAAAATGGGACTGGAAATATAAGGTGTGTGAATTTTAGTAGAAATTTGAAAGTCAGAGTTTAAGCTTAATTGTGTAGACAATAATATCATAGCACCACAGTATGTAATGCTGAATGGGATTTCAGATATTCACTCCAGTTTTGGTAATTTTTTAAAAATTATGCTTTAAGTTCTGGGGTACATGTGCAGAATGTGCAGGTTTGTTACATAGGTATAACTGTGGCATGGTGGTTTGCTGCACCCATCAACCCGTCATCTACATTAAGTATTTCTCCTAATGCTATTGAGAAAACTGATGCTCTTAAAACTTTAAATGACTTGATTGTAATGACAGTATCAAGACCTGAATTCAAATCATATTCTCCTTAGCAAAGAAACAGTGTTGAGGAGAGTGAGTCAAACAGTGGGTTCTTGCAATAATAATTCATTTTAGAAACAGTAATCTCTGAATTATATTGAGAAAATATTTGCATAATTGATGGAAGTAAGAATATTAAATAAAAACATCAAAGAGCACTTCTGAAGAAAGGTGTAAACATAGAAAATGAAAATATAATTTGGAAATGAGAGTGAGGTGTGAGTACTAAGGAATTTTCAAAGGAAGATGTGACAGAATTTAGTGAACATAAAATTGAAAAGTGAAGAATAAGCCATCAATTCTAGATTTCTGAACTAGAAGACTTTGGGGCAATTAGGCATTATTCAAAGCTAAACTGTTGAGAAAATATGCCATATTTAGTGAAAACAAACCTACAGACTAGTTATTATGATGGAATAATACCATAAATTTAAGTTAACCCTTCAGAGATGTACGTGGAATCAAAATAATTTTATTTTGCACTATTTCTGTAAACATTAATTTTTTTGTCTAAATAGGAGTTTATTTTCCCCAAAATTTTGAATCATGCACATATAAGAAAGAGAATCCTGAGCTTCTAGGGATACATTTTGGAGCATTCAGTTTGTTTATTTGTTCCCTGGAATTAGAAACCTTCCAAGGAAAAAAGATGAAATGGCAATTACTATTAATACCTTTGGGTCTTCACTCCAAAATCCGGACCAAATACCAAACAAATTATTAATTTTTTTCAGAAGATATAAAATTCTCTCTCTCTCATCTTGCTTCCTCCCTCACCTCTCTCCTCTCTCCTTTCCCTCCTTCATTTTATCCTCTCTCGTACATACACACTGGTAGCAGGAGTTTGGTACACAAAGTAAATATATTAGCCTGGAAGTAAATATTTGGTTGACATGCTGTGGTTAAGTAATTTACAAAATATAACTTACTAAATTCAAATTTGCAATGTACTCAGGTTTTTCACCTTTATTTTCCTCTTCATCAACTCGTAATTAATTCTTGTTCTTTTAAGTGCCCAAGATACAAAATTATCTATTTTCTTTCATCTACCTTGATCTCTGTGGAAATCTAGTGCTCTTATTCTGGTTTCTAGAGGTCTTGCCTTTATGTTCAGGATGAACTTCATGCAAAATAGCCTGTGACATTGCATGATGTCACTCTCATTTCTCTTTTGTCATGGGTTTCTCCTTTTTCTAGCTATGTTATATGCGTTACCATTTCCCCTACAACTTTTCTAACTGATTTTTTTTCTATTTCTTCTTTCTCAGGTAAAGACCGATTTAATTAAGAGTAACTGTAGTACCTTCTTTGATAGCAGAGCAATGTTGTATGTATGTGTGCATCTGCAGAAAGTACAGGCACTCAAATCATGATGTATAATTTAAAAGTTATACAATAAAAATCAGATGGAGAAAGGAAGCAAAAACCACAATGAAAAATCTACCTATTATTTCACCAATCTTTAAGTAAAATACCTCAAAGAAATTTTCAAGTCATTTAAAAATGTGTGGAATATGTGAATATATTCTGCAAAATGACCAAAGCCTATCCATATTTGTTTAAATTTGCATTTACTTCTCTATTTTACTTACTTTGAAATCCTCTATTATTTATTTTCACTCTGAAAAATGGTTAATCATATAAAGTTATCATTCAAAAAATACAGTGCAAAATAGAATCTATATTAACTTTTACAGGAACAATAAAGATGTCCATAAATGAATTATAAATTGCATCACAAAAAGCATCAGAATAATTTTTAAGGTAAGTGGAATGAGACAATTCTCTATCAGAAAACTAGAGCAAAGCAATATTTTGACATATAAAATAATTACTTTCTGTTTGGGAGGCAAAATATACTTGTTATCAAGTATAAATTGATCCATAAAACACTAATATTTCTTCTAGAATAGCCAAAAATTTTCAATTTTTATTATTTTGAGGGAATAAGTGTTTTTAATAAGTAATGTTCAAAATAAACATTAATGCTTACTGAAAATCATATGCAAAAATTACCTCAAAATGGATCATAGACCCAGATTTAAAACCCAAAATTATAACATGTGTAGAAGAAAATATAGGAGAAAAGCTTTGTTACCTTTGAGTAGGCAAGGATTTCTTAGAACACCAAAAGCATAAACTGTATTTTAAAAAACTAATAAACTGAACTTCAATTTTTAAACAGATACTTTTTTATCAGTATATGGCAGTGTATATCTTATCTAAATTTTTAGTAAACTTGAATAACATGAGCCAAAGGGGAAAAAAAAACCTCCTCTTTTATTTGATAATATTGCTCATTTATCCAATTGTTTTTGGATTATAGAGTTCAAGTAATACTTTTAAAAGATGCATACGTCTATATTATTTACAACATTGTTTTTAGCCTCCCACCCAAAGATAAAATAAGATATTGATGAAGGGACTTTGCTAAAAATAGAAGTGTTAACTTTTTGTGTATTAATCATACTAGAAATAATATAATCTTATATGTTATGGCAAAGATTGTGGAGGCACACTAAGGTTTTTATTACGGCTCCTTCTGATTCCAAGATAGGGCTGATGACCCATGCTGTCTAATAGGCTAAGAATAGGGATGTCGTATGTCTATTGTGTATCAAAACATTGAAGAGTTAGCATGATCCCTTCAGAGTGTCTTCCCTTGATATAGCAACTAGGAGGCTGAATGATCCAGCTGGTGCAGTTATTAGACACTGGAGTTTCCATCAGGCTGGATCCCTGAGTGACAGTGTGGACAAAGAACACTGAGAAAATGTAGCATGAATGAGAGATAAACTTTTGTTTTGTTAAGCCACTCATATTTGGGAATGTTTGTTATCACTGCATATCCTAACCTAACAAATATGTACTTTTTTATTAACACTTTCAATATACCAATGTCAAGAACTCTTATTTATCAATTCATGTTAAAATTTGTCTAATATGTCAATTTTACTCACTCATAATCTAATTATTTGCCTTTATTATATTCAGTCATTTAAATTTGTAACATCAACATATTTCTACTTTTATTTTCTGTCTTGCCATAGCTTAAAAAATGCATTTTACTTATAAGAATATGTGCACCCAAAGAGCTTTTGAACCCAGAAGAGGCATAAAGTTATATGAGCCAGAGCTGTCATTTTACTGAAACCCTTGGGGTTACGCTGGGCCAACTTCTATGTAAGAATTGTGGCAGAGCAAATGAGTGATTTGCAGTGGCAAAGAGTAAGAAAGATATTAATTGTTACATGTGTATCATGCAAAGTTTTCTAATATATAATGGTATAAAGATCATTTACATTTAGTACAATTGAATTTTTGTAATAGGGATATTTCATTTTCATAATTATTAATTTCCAGTATTTTAAATAAAATGGTGAACAAAATTTCTAGAAAAATGATCAGAGAGACAAGCAGCATTTGACAGATGAAGATATGTGAATAGCCTCAAACCTGTGGACAAATGTTCAACTTATCAGAAACAAAATACATATGTTAATAAAATAGAATAGTAACAAAACACAGATTGGCCTATCTTATTGGTAAACACTGAGAAGAAATACAGAAAATAAAGTTGACATGATATGAGGAAATTCACTAAAAACGGTGTTTTGGAACAAAGAGTGCTGCAAATTTTGTAGGGAAATATTGATAATTTATACTAAGATAAAGCAAATATTTTCAAGAAAATTCTAATTATGATGGAAATAAAGCAGCTACAAAGTTCAAAATGGAAGATCAACAGAATTTGATATACAATATAAATAAGTCAACTAATTGAACTTAAATGCATTTACAAGGAAATGTGTTGATTTTTAAGGGGGAGGGATAGCATTTGGAGATATACCTAATGTTAAATGACCAGTTACTGCGTGCAGCACACCAACTTGGCACATGTATACATATGTAACTAACCTGCACGTTGTGCACATGTACCCTAAAACTTAAAGTATAATAAAAATAAATAAATTTAAAAAAAACAAATATGTGTTTGTCTTCTACAATTATCCTATAATTGTGTCATGATGTTTCTAGTCTCCAAGGACGCAGTGGTGAACAGAGAGACACATCCCTGTTCAAAGTACGACATAAAAGTCGGGTGCAGTGACTCACCTCTATAATCTCAGCACTTTGGAAGGATAAAGTGGAAGCATCGCTTGAGAACAAGAGTTCAAGACTAGCCTGAGCAAAATACTGAGAAGTCTTTCTACAAAATAACAAAAACAAAAATAGCAAGGTGTGGTGATGAGCACCTGTAGTCCCAACTACCTGGGAGAGTGAGGCAGGAGGATCCCTTGAGCCCAGGAGTTTGAGGCTGCAGTGAGCCATGATCAGGCCATTGCACTCCAGCCTTTGGCAACAGAGAGAGACTCTCTCTCAAAAAACAAACAAACAAAAACAAAGCACAGCATAAAACCAAACAGTGATAAATGAGATTAACGAAGAATGGAAATCTGGATTATGTAATAGGGTGTGTTGGGATAGGTTGGAACAGCAGGGGGGCATTTATAGTGGGCAGTGAGGTGAGGCCTTACTGCCAAAGTGCCATTTACCTGAAAGATGAAAGACAAGAAATAGCTGAAGGAAAGGCAAGCTAGATGGACAAACACAGAGGCTCTAGGATAAAGATGAGCTTGGTGTTTGAAGAATAGAAAGATACCATGGGTTTGAGCCTGATAGGTCAGAGGAAGAGTGCTGTGGAATAAATTTAAAATCAGGTAGTCAAGTCTTTTGCTACTTGGAGGCCAAAGTAAGGAAAATTGATTTTATTTCAGGTGCTGTGGTTAAGAGGCAGAGGACTTTCACCAAGAAGAGTAATCTGGATTTGTTTACGTTTTACAGATCATTCTTGTTTCTGTATGGAAAACAGACAGTTCAGGGAGCTAGAGATATAACAGTGCAACTTCTAAAGTGAGTGTTGTAGTATTAAGGAAAGAAATAAAGAAGTCTGGGCCAGGACAGTAGCTGTGAGGCTCGAAAGAAGTGAGGTAATTCAATAGCTGTGTGATTATTGAAGTCCTAGATTTTGGGGGTTTTGAATAGAGCTACTAGATGGTTTTATTTGTTGCATTAGGGAAGACTAGAAGGAGAATACATTAGTGGTCAGTAGAAGGGGAGAAATCATAAGCTCGTGTTTGTCATTGTGACTCTAAGATGGAATTTTAAGCAATCCTACTTACTGCGTATATAAATTTGGATCTCAGTGGATGAGTCAGAGCCCTTTTCATGGAAGTGGTTTTATAAGTCAAAATAGTAGATGACAGCACTAAGGGAGACACCGTAGTTAGAGGTAAGAGCAAAGAAATCTTTCGGAAGTCCCTTAATGCGGTTTCCCTTTAAATCTATGCCGCCTAACACTCACCATAATAGCAAGCACATTTTTCTCTCTCTTCAGAAAAATATGAAACTAGAACCGTGTTATTTAATAAATTACAGGAAGTTCTGCAGTGCCACATTTCATATAAAAACTATTCACCCACATTTCAGATTTAAATATTTTTATTATAAATTAACAAATTATAGTTGCATATATTTATGTAGTACAAAGTGATGTTATGATTTATAAATACAACATGTAATAATTAAAACAAGCTCACATATCCATCACCTCAAATATTTATCCTTTTGTGGTGCGAATGTTTGAAATTTATTCTTAGTAATTTAAAAATGTACATTATTAACTATATTCACCACACTGTGCGATAAATCTAAAAAAAAATCTTATTCCTCCTGTGTAACTGAGGCTATGTGCTCTTTGACCATCATCTCCCCATTCTCTCATCCCCCGCCCCATTCTGCTCTCTGCTTCTATGAGTTTGGATGTTTCAGATTCCACATATGAGTTGGAACACATGATATTTCTGTTTCTTTGTCCAGTATATATCACATAGCATAATTTTCTTCAATTCCATTCATTTTGTTAAAAATGACAGAACATATTTCTTTTGTAAGGTGGTGTGGTATTGCATTGTGAATATATACCATTTTCTGTTTGTCCGTTCATCTGCTGATGGACACTTAGGTTGGTTCCACAATTTTGCTATTGTGATTATTACTGCAAGGAATGCTGGAGTGTAGGCATCTCTTCAACACATTGATTGTAAATCTTTTGGGTAAATACCCAGAAGTGAGATTGCCGATTCATATAGTAATTCTATTTTTGTTTTTTTGAGGGACCACCATACAGTTTTTCATAAATGACTATACAAACTTAACTATCCACCAACAATGTACAAGGGTTGCCTTTTCTCCACATCTTCACCAACCCTTGTTATGTTTCATTTTTTTACAATAGTATTTCTGAAAGATATGATGTGTTATATCATTGTGATTTTAATTTGCATTTCACTAATTATTAGTGATGTTGAGCATTTTTCCTACATCTGCTGTCCATTTGTATGTCTTCTTTTGAGAAATGTATATTCAGAACCTTTGACCAGTTTTAAATTGGATTATTTGTTTCTTTTCTGTAGAACTGTTTGAATTCCTTATATAATTTGGATATTAATCTCTAACAGATCTACAGCTTGCAAACATTGTCTCCCATACTGTAGGTTGTATATTCACTGTGTTGTTTCCTTTGTTATGCAGAAGCTTTTCATTTAGATATAATCCAATTTGTCTATTTTTGCTTTTGTTGCCTGTGCTCTTGGTGTCAAATCTAAAACAAATCATTTCCCAGATCAATGTTGTGTAGTTTTTCCCCTGTGTTCTCATGCAATATTGCTCTTTCTGCTTTCTACTAGGATAGTAGAAGTCTAATAGAATTCTTTCCAGGTTTTGTTTCAAGGACTATGCTGCATAAAGCTAATTTGAATTTCCCAATATTAAAGTTACTAAACCATCACTCCCTTTGTGAGCAAAAATTACTCCTTTTTTAACTTTATTTGAAAAATTGAATGGTAACACTCATTTGGGTGCAAAGAACAGCTGCATTTTTATTGTCTAAAGTAATTCAATTAGTGGCCATTCTTTAATACTTTCATGATTTCTCTTGACTATTTTCCTTATCAGAATGCAGACATGAAAAGCACATATATCTTTCTGAGAAAAAAAAATCTTGCTTTTATGAAGAAAATATAAAACTAATAGTGGAAGAAGAATGTGGATGGGTTGAGGTGCCTCAGGCCTGGACTCATCTGTCTCACTAAGTGTGTCTCCCCACAACTTACCTCCAGCTTCTGCCTTTCCTGAACACACACATTTTTATGTTTTCTGCATTCAAGTTGAATCATTAGATTCTAATAAAGTCCTCTGGGAAAGACATTATATCTTTCAGACACTCATATAAATCAGAACACCACCTAGGCAGAATAAGTATTAGCTGACACCCAAAGTTAGAAATGGCTTTGGTAATTAAGGTAGTACTGTGTTCCTGCTGTCACTTCCTATATTTTTTTAATCAACACATTTCTTAGTTCCAATGTCTTTTATGCCGGAGATTTCTAGAAAAAGAGAAAACAAGATAGCGTCATTGTAGAGACTGACCTGGGAGTGTGCACGTGACTTTATCTTTTTCTTTGCTATTACTATATTTAAACACGGTTTATTACTTAATATGGAGAAAAATAAAATGAAATTAAAGAAACGGTAATAGAATTACAAACACTGAATTGAAATTATGCCTTTTAATGCAATATGACCAGAAAATTTCATCATATTTCTGTATTTTTACCAAATATATCAACATAGAAATAAGCAAAGCTTTATTATCAGAAAGACATGGTATCCTTATATGTGAAACTCTGAGAACATAAACTGCTCATGATCCTTTTCCTTATCATATTGCAACTACACCTGTGTTTAACTCCATTTAGGCATTCCAGGGAAATGTAAACAGTATCACAGTTACTGCTAAAACAAACATTAAAAATAATCGTGTTAGGGATATCATTGATTATTTGGTCCAGACAGTAAATTCTAAAGCCATTTGTGTACTCACACATATTGTATCCTGGCATTTATAATTTCACATTCTTGTAAGTGATTTCAAAACCCATCTGATCCCTGCTATTCTAGAATATAAACATGAATATTTATTATTTTGTAATGGACACTAAAACTTTCCTTCATAAGTCGAAAGTCTAGTCTTTCTCCGTTATGGCAGATACTGCTGAATGAAGCCAGCCATCTTGATATTTTTCAGGTTTATGTAATATGAAGGATGAAGAACATGAGTAGTCATGGGAATCTCAAGGGAGCTAAGTCTCTGTTATGAAATATGCCCTCTGCCTAGTCAGAAATGACTCAGTACTCCTCTGCCGCTCCATTGTCTGGGAATATTCAGAGCAAGGTGAATTGTTGGCAAAGTGTCATGCTATAAACCTCACAATCAATGCACTCGTCAGAATGGACATCTTTCATTCAGTGGTAGAAAGAAGCAATAATAACAGTTTAGAGGCTGCTTATTGAAATAATATTCTGGATGCAAGCACTTAAAAGGACTTGAAGTATTACCCAGTGACCTCTGGAAGAAAACTGCCTGCTTAGGGGACCTACTGTCTCATTGTGCCTTTCCAATATATTGAGAAGTAACTTGAGATTGAGATGTACTTGAATGACTATGACATTGTCTAGCAAATATTAATTTTTTCTAGACATTAATTCTTTCTGGAATCTCCCTAATTATAAGTGAACGGGCCACCTCAAAAACACCTATCAGAGTATTTCAGTCATTGACACTCATGCCCAGAAAAATGACTAATAAGCTGTGGTTTTGTTGCTCTCGTGGTCTGTCAAAATCTGAAGGTTTTTCTTTTTAATTTTTTTTATTATACTTTAAGTTCTAGGGTACATGTGCACAACGTGCAGGTTTGTTACATATGTGTACATGTGCCATGTTGGTGTGCTGCACACCCATTAACTTGTCACTTACATTAGGT